>NC_000009.12:102008430-102159945 GCF_000001405.40 Homo sapiens | reverse complement strand
TCTTTAGAAACTTATAAATAAGGCTATCCAATTACAATTGAGAGCTATTGCAAGGTGAAAAATTGCCTAAATCTGGGATCAAAGGACCAGGTGAAAGTTTTTAATGAGTCCTACTTATTAACTGGATGCCTATTTCCAAGCAAATTTTCTAAGATTATCTCCATGTTTATACAATAAAATCTGAAGGAGCAAAGAAGAAAATGTCTTATTGCAAGGGATTATTTTGAAATTTAAAAAGTATACATTTTATAAATAATAGTCATTACCACTAACCAACTTGAAGCATAAGAGAACTATAAAAATAATGGCCATCAAAAGTAGTCCTGATTTTTTTAAAAGCAGAGGGAATTGAGATTAATGTACCATCCTCAGAGATGTATAAAACACATCTTCAAATGAAAGGTAATGGAGGTTTCAGAAAGATAGATCTTGATAAATGGGAACCAACATGAATTCACCAAAACAAGTCATAAGATACTAGCCTCATTTCCTCTTTTAAAATAAACAGTAGAATAAGGAGTCAAGATGTATAGTAAATGTAGCAACTCTAAAATTCAGGAAATAATTTGAAACAATCTCTCAAATTATTCTTGTAGAGAAGATGAAAAGCTTAACTAATTTACCAGGTGTGGTCAGGGATATATAAACGCAAGTCACCTCATCAATGGCGAAAGCTAATGACTGTTACAGAGCATTGCTATTATTCCTTGCTATCAAAAGATGTATCTGTCACTTATTTGAATGCAGAGAACACATATGTACCAAAGGAGAAATTAATATGAAAGCTTAAATATATAGGAGACAACTTTCTTGAAAAACAGAATGAGGAGCCACAAAATTCAGAACAGTAGACCAAATCAATAAAAAGGAAGTGTATGGTCATCACAAAACTAAAACATTAACCACACAAGTGTGAAAAGACTTAATTAGAAATGCTAAATTTCAGAAAACATATAAGTAAAACATGTTATATGGCTGTCAAAAATGCTAACAGGCTCTATGACTACAATATCATAAAAAATGTAGCATAAGGATTGGCTGAAGTTATGGTACCTTTCAACCTCAAGTTGCTAAAACCATAGGTGGAATTTTTTTGTTCATGACAATGAGCTGCATTTTCAGAAAGATTTTGATAAACCAGAGAACATGCAAATGGCAAAGGACAGAGGAGCACCTTACTAAATGAGTGGCACCACTAAAGATGGAGCCCACTTTAGTGGAGCACTTCAAAAGCATACATAACAACTACTTAAGTGAGAGGGAAATTTATAAAATAAAAAAGTGAAAGATCAATATTTGCTTTATTTACCTATCAGGAGAGCTACAGGGTGAAAACAATACTTAACGTGTACTCTATTTAATTTACTGGAGAATAAGAACCTATGGGTAAAATTTACAAGATGTTTGAAATTACCAAAAATAATATGGAACACTCATAAAATAATTAGAACCATTCATGTGTGGAAAGGGCTGCCTTTGAGTGGTGAGATCTTTGTCACTGGAATCATTAATGAAGAGATGGGAAAGCCACTCACAGAAAATTTTGTAGAAGTAAATCCCAGAAGGGCATGAACTCTGTTTTTAAGAATCTGTAACTGTTTACCAACTTATTTCTTCGTTCTGTCTTCTTCCTTTGTCTAGTTTTATTTTTTTTTTCTCACTTGGCTCTCTTTTTCCATTCTTCGTGTACTATATTGCAATAAACTTGAGATATATCATGCCAGTCTCATCTATTATGTTTATTTTCCCTCAGCTCTTTTCTATTACTCTCTGTTAAGTCTTCATAAGGATTTATGCATTTGGATTAACTTTGCTGCCTACGGGCATACGCTTGTTTCCTCCATTGATCTGTTGTTTTATTGCTAATAAACCATTTTACAAAGATGCCAGACTCAACATACTTTTACGCTGTTTTGTAACAGTACTAGTGGTTATTGTGAGTACAATTCAATAGCTTATTTTAAAGTTAAAATTTATGACCCTTATTTGTCCTGCTGAACTAAACAAAAAGTACCTATGATGAGATCATTGTGATGAGTATGTATTTCTCTGTACTTCATTTAGTTGATAACCCATTATCTGATTAATATGATAGGATGGAAATTTCTACAATACATAGTTTACATATTAATGTAACATTCCTACATATTTTTAAAAACTATGTTTCCTAATTATAAGATACTATATTCATTACAGAAAATTATCCCAACTATATGCTGCCTACAAGACTCACTTTAGCTTTACGTGGACTGAAAGTGAAGGAATGGAAAATGGTATTTCAAATGAAAACCAAAAAAAAAAGAAATAATATATATATTTATGTCAGACAAAATAGACTACTTCAAAACAGGAGACACAGAAGGTCACTATGTAATGTTAAAGGGGTCAATTTACCAAAAGGATATAAAAATTGTAACTAAGTCTATGCACCCAATATTGAGTCTCCTAAATATATAAAGCAAATATTAACAGAATTGAAGAGAGAAATATCAATGCAATAATAGGGGATTTTAATACCCTACTTTCAATAATAGATAGATCGTTGAGACAGAAAATCAATAAGGAAACATTTAACTTGAAATACATGTTAGACCAAATGAACTAAACAGGCATATACAGAATGTTTCTTTCAACAGTAGCAGCAGAATATACATTCTTGTCAAGCATTCAGGGAACATTCTCCAAAATAGATTATATATTAGGCCATAAAACAAGCCTAAATGAATTTAGGAAAATCAAAATTATGTCAAGCGTCTCTTTTGACCACAATGGTATTAAACTAAAAATCAATAACGGAAGGAAAATTTACAAATATGTGGAAATTAAACAACCTACACCTGAACAACCAAAGGATCAAACAGTAAAAACAAGTCAAAAACTGTATTGAGACAGGTAGAAATGGAAACACAATATACCAAAGTTCATGTGTTGTAGCAAAAGCAGTTCCAAGAGGGAAGTGCACAGCAATTAGCATCTCTGTGACAAAAAAGAAAATTCTTAAGTAAGCAATTTCACTTTACACTTCAATGAACTAGAAAAAGAAGAGCAAACTTAGCCCAAAGGTAGTAAAAAAGGAAATAATAATGATTAGAGCAGAAATAAATAAAATAGAGACAATAGAAAGCAAGAAAAATAAACTAAGAGTTTTTAAGATTAACAAAATTGATAAAATTTTAACTAAATTAAAATGATGCAAGACAGAAATAATCAAAATCACAAGTGAAAGAGAATAAATTACAGCTGATACCACAGAAATACAAAGGATTATAAGGGACTACTATGAATAATTATAAACCAACAAATTGGACAATTTAGAAGAAATGCATACATTCCTAGACACATACAACCTACCATAACTGAATCATGAAGAATTAAAAAATCTGAATAGGCCAATGATAAGCAAGGAGATTGAATTAGTAATAAAAACAAAAACTCCCACCAAAGTAAAGCCCAGTATCTGATGGCTTCACTGATAAATTCTACCAAACATTAAAGATTTAATACCAAATTTTCTCAAACTCTTTCAAGAAATTAAAGCAAAGCAAATGCTTCCAAACTCATTTTAAAAGCCTGTATTAACCTCATACCAAAGTTAGACAAGGACATTACAAGAAAAGAAACTAATAGGCCAATTTTCCCAATGAACATAGATGCAAAAACCTTTAACAAAGTATTAGCAAATCAAATTCAAAAGCATGTTAGAAAGATCATACAGTGGGATTTATTCCTATAATGCAAGGATGGTTTGACATATAAAAATCAATAAATGTGATATACTACATCAACAGAATAAAACATAAAAATCATATCATCTCAATAGATGCAGAAAATCATTTAACAATATTCAATGTCCTTTCATGATTTAAAAAAACTGTCAACAAATTAGTTATAGAAGTCAACTAAGTTACTAAGTTATACCTTAACATAATAAAAGACATATATGAAAAGCCCACAGCTAACTTCATATGCAGTGATGAAAAGCTGAACTCTTTTCCTCTAAGATCATGAAAAAGAAAGGGATGCCCACTGTCACCACTTCTACTCAGTATAGTATTGTAAATCGTAGTCAGTGCAATTAGGTATGAGAAAAAAAAAAAAGTCATCCAAATCAGAAAGGTTGAAGTTAAACGGTGTTTCCAGATAACATGATCTTATGTGTATATAAAACCTTAAATACGCTACCAAAAATTGTTAAAACCATTAAAGAAATTCAGTAAATTTTCAGGATACAGAATCAAACTTCAAAAGTCAATTCGTTAATTTTACAAAAATCAGTTCCTTTTCTATGCACTAAAAAATCAAAAATTAAGATATATATATAAATTAGAGATGGGTCTAGTACTGTTGACCAGGCTGGAGCACAGAGGCACAATCATAGCTCACTGCAGCCTCCATCTCCTGGGCTTAAGAGATCCTCCCACCTAGTCTTCCAAACAGCTGGGATTACAGGCATGGGCAACCATACCCTGCTAATTTAAAAAATATATATTTTTCGAGATAGAGTCTTACTACATTACTCTGACTGGTCTCAAACTCCTGTCCTCAAGCAATCCTCCAGTCTCAGCCTCCCTAGTAGGTGGAATTATAGAAACAAGGCACCATGTGCAGCTCTACAATAGCATTTTAAAAACTGAAGTACTTAGGAGTAAGCTTGACCAAGGAGGTGAAAGATCTGTTCACTGAAAACTAGAAAACAGTAGTGAAAGAAATTAAGGAAGACACAAATAAATAGAAAAATATGATTGCTGAACTGCACTCCAGCCGGAGTGCATGTGTGAGACAGCAAAACCCTGACCTAAAAAAAAAAGAGAACAATATCCCATTCATGGATTGGAAGAATTAATATTGTCAAAATAGCAATACTAACCAAAGTAATCTACAAATTTGTTGCAATCCCTATCAAAATCCCAATGGAAATTTTCAAGAAATAGAAAAAATTCTGAAATGTATATGGAACTATAAAAGACTCCAAATAGCTGAAACAATCCTAAGAAGAACAAACAAAGCTGAAAGCATTACATGTACTGATTTAAAATTATATTATGAAGATATAGTAATCAAAACATTATGACACTGACATAAAAACACATAGACTAATGGAACAGGATACAAAGTCTTAAGATAAACCTACACATATAGAGTCAACTAATTTTCAAGAAAGGCACCAAGAATACACAATGGATAAAAGATAGTATCTTCCTTAAATGGTTTTTGGAAAACTGGATATCCGCACTCAACAAAAAGAAAAAAAAAAGAAAAAAGAAAAAGAAAGAAAGAAAAGAAAAAAAGGATAAATTAGATCTTTATCTCACACTATACCAAAAAAAGGCAACTTAAAATGAATTAAAGAATTAAAGGTTTAAACGTGAGGCCTGAAACTATAAAACTTCTAGAAGAAAACATAGAAGAAAATCTTCATGACATAAATCTTGGAAATTATTTCATGGATATGTCATCAAAAGCACAGGGAAAAATAAAAAATAAACAACTGAGACTACATCAAACTAAAACATTTCTGCACAACAAAGGAAACAAATAATAAAATGAAAAGACAACTCACAGAATGGAAGAAAATATTTCCCAACTATATAACTGGCAAGGAACTAATATCCAAAATAAATAAGAAATTCATATAAGTCAAGAGCCAAAAAGCAAATAACTTGATTTAAAAAAAAAAAAAAAGGGCAAAAGACCTGAATAGACATTTTTCCAAAGAAGACATACAAATGACCAACAGAGACATGGGAGGCTCCTCAATATCACCAATAATCAGAAAAATGCAATTAAAACCACAATGAGGTATCATCTCACACCTGTGAAGATGGCTACGATGAAAAAGATGAAAAATAACAAGTGTTGACAAGTATGTGGAGAAAAGAGAATTGTGCACTATTGGTGGGAATATAAATCAATAGAGCCATTACAGAAAATGATATGGAGCTTTCTCAAAAAATTAAAAATAGAACCACCATATGACCCAGCAATTCCACTTTATGGGTATTTATCCAAAGGAAATGAAATCAGTTTATTGAAGAGATACCTGCAATCCCATGTTCATTGCAGCACTATTCACCATAGCTGAGATACAGAAATAACCAAAGTGTCCATTGACAGATGAATGGATATAGAAAAATGCGATGGAATATTATTCAGCCTTAAAAAAGGAAATTTTGGGAGTACTGGAGCCAAGATGGCCGAATAGGAACAGCTCCGGTCTACAGCTCCCAGCGTGAGTGACGCAGAAGACGGGTGATTTCTGCATTTCCATCTGAGGTACCGGGTTCATCTCACTAGGGAGTGCCGAAACAGTGGGCGCAGGTCAGTGGGTGTGTGCACCGTGCACAAGCCGAAGCAGGGCGAGGCATTGCCTCACTTGGGAAGCGCAAGGGGTCAGGGAGTTCCCTCTCTGAGTCAAAGAAAGGGGTGACAGAAGGCACCTGAAAAATCGGGTCACTCCCACCCGAATACTGCGCTTTTCTGATGGGCTTAAGAAACGGCGCACCACAAGATTATAACTCGTACCTGGCTCGGAGGGTCCTATGCCCACGGAGTCTCGTTTATTGCTAGCACAGCAGTCTGAGATCAAACTGCAAGGCGGCAGCAAGGCTGGGGGAGGGGCGCCCGCCATTGCCCAGGCTTGATTAGGTAAAAAAGCAGCCCGGAAGCTCTAACTGGGTGGAGCCCACCACAGCTCAAGGCCTGCCTGCCACTGTAGGCTCCACCTCTGGGGGCAGTGCACAGACAAACAAAAAGACAGCAGTAACCTCTGCAGACTTAAATATCCCTGTCTGACAGCTTTGAAGAGAGCAGTGGTTCTCCCAGCAGGCAGCTGGAAATGTGAGAACGGGCAGACTGCCTCCTCAAGTGGGTCCCTGACCCCTGACCCCCGAGCAGCCTAACTGGGAGGCACCCCCCAGCAGGGGCACACTGACACCTCACACGGCAGGGTATTCCAACAGACCTGCAGCTGAGGGTCCTCTCTGTTAGAAGGAAAACTAACAAACAGAAAGGACATCCACACCAAAAACCCATCTGTACATCACCATCATCAAAGACCAAAAGTAGATAAAACCACAAAGATGGGGAAAAAACAGAACAGAAAAACTGGAAACTCTAAAAAGCAGAGGGCCTCTCCTCCTCCAAAGGAACACAGTTCCTCACCAGCAACAGAACAAAGCTTGAAGGAGAATGACTTTGATGAGCTGAGAGAAGATGGCTTCAGACAATCAAATTACTCTGAGCTACGGGAGGACATTCAAACCAAAGGCAAAGAAGTTGAAAACTTTGAAAAAAATTTAGAAGAATGTATAACTAGAATAACCAATACAGAGAAGTGCTTAAAGGAGCTGATGGAGCTGAAAACCAAGGCTCCAGAACTACGTGAAGAATGCAGAAGCCTCAGGAGCTGATGCGATCAACTGGAAGAAAGGGTATCAGCGATGGAAGATGAAATGAATGAAATGAAGCGAGAAGGGAAGTTTAGAGAAAAAAGAATAAAAAGAAATGAGCAAAGCCTCCAAGAAATATGGGACTATGTGAAAAGACCAAATCTACGTCTGATTGGTGTACCTGAAAGTGATGGGGAGAATGGAACCAAGTTGGAAAACACTCTGCAGGATATTATCCAGGGGAACTTCCCCAACATAGCAAGGCAGGCCAACGTTCAGATTCAGGAAATACAGAGAATGCCACAAAGATACTCCTCGAGAAGAGCAACTCCAAGACACATAATTGTCAGATTCACCAAAGTTGAAATGAAGGAAAAAATGTTAAGGGCAGCCAGAGAGAAAGGTCGGGTTACCCTCAAAGGGAAACCTATCAGACTAACAGCAGATCTCTCGGCAGAAACCCTACAAGCCAGAAGAGAGTGGGGGCCAATATTCAACATTCTTAAAGAAAAGAATTTTCAACCCAGAATTTCATATCCAGCCAAACTAAGCTTCATAAGTGAAGGAGAAATAAAATACTTTGCAGAAAAGCAAATGCTGAGAGATTTTGTCACCACCAGGCCTGCCTTACAAGAGCTCCTGAAGGAAGCACTAAACATAGAAAGGAACAACCGGTACCAGCCGCTGCAAAATCATGCCAAAATATAAAGACCATCAAGACAAGGAAGAAACTGGATCAACTAACGAGCAAAATAACCAGCTAACATCATAATGACAGGATCAAATTCACACATAACAATATTAACTTTAAATGTCAATGGACTAAATGCTCCAATTAAAAGACACAGACTGGCAAATTGGATAAAGAGTCAAGACCCATCAGTGTGCTGTATTCAGGAAACCCATCTCACGTGCAGAGACACACATAGGCTCAAAATAAAAGGATGGAGGAAGATCTACCAAGCAAATGGAAAACAAAAAAAGGCAGGGGTTGCAATCCTAGTCTCTGATAAAACAGACTTTAAGCCAACAAAGATCAAAAGAGACAAAGAAGGCCATTACATAATGGTAAAGGGATCAATTCAACAAGAAGAGCTAACTATCCTAAATATATATGCACCCGATACAGGAGCACCAAGATTCATAAAGCAAGTCCTGAGTGACCTACAAAGAGACTTAGACTCCCACACATTAATAATGGGAGACTTTAACACCCCACTGTCAACATTAGACAGATCAATGACACAGAAAGTCAACAAGGATACCCAGGAATTGAACTCAGCTCTGCACCAAGCGGACCTAATAGACATCTACAGAACTCTCCACCCCAAATCAACAGAATATACATTTTTTTCAGCACCACACCACACCTATTCCAAAACTGACCACATACTGGGAAGTAAAGCTCTCCTCAGCAAATGTAAAAGAACAGAAATTATAACAAACTATCTCTCAGACCACAGTGCAATCAAACTAGAACTCAGGATTAAGAATTTCACTCAAAACCGCTCAACTACATGGAAACTGAACAATCTGCTCCTGAATGACTACTGGGTACATAACGAAATGAAGGCAGAAATAAAGATGTTCTTTGAAACCAACGAGAACAAAGACACAACATACCAGAATCTCTGGGACGCATTCAAAGCAGTGTGTAGAGGGAAATTTATAGCACTAAATGCCCACAAGAGAGAGCAGGAAAGATCCAAAATTGACACCCTAACATCACAATTAAAAGAACTAGAAAAGCAAGAGCAAACACATTCAAAAGCTAGCAGAAGGCAAGAAATAACTAAAATCAGAGTAGAACTGAAGGAAATAGAGACACAAAAAACCCTTCAAAAAATTAATGAATCCAGGAGCTGGTTTTTTGAAAGGATCAACAAAATTGACAGACTGCTAGCAAGACTAATAAAGAAAAAAAGAGAGATGAATCAAATAGACGCAATAAAAAATGATAAAGGGGATATCACCACCGATCCCACAGAAATAAAAACTACCATCAGAGAATACTACAAACACCTCTACGCAAATAAACTAGGAAATCTAGAAGAAACGGATAAATTCCTGGACACATACACTCTCCCAAGACTAAACCAGGAAGAAGTTGAATCTCTGAATAGACCAATAACAGGAGCTGAAATTGTGGCAATAATCAATAGCTTACCAACCAAAAAGAGTCCAGGACCAGATGGATTCACAGCCGAATTCTACCAGAGGTACAAGCAGGAACTGGTACCATTCCTTCTGAAACTACTCCAATCAATAGAAAAAGAGGGAATCCTCCCTAACTCATTTTATGAGGCCAGAATCATTCTGATACCAAAGCCAGGCAGAGACAAAACAATAAAAGAGAATTTTAGACCAATATCCTTGATGAACATTGATGCAAAAATCCTCAATAAAATACTGGCAAAACGAATCCAGCAGCACATCAAAAAGCTTATCCACCATGATCAAGTGGGCTTCATCTCTGGGATGTAAGGCTGGTTCAATATACACAAATCAATAAATGTAATCCATCATATAAACAGAGCCAAAGACAAAAACCACATGATTATCTCAATAGATGCAGAAAAAGACTTTGACAAAATTCAACAACCCTTCATGCTAAAAACTCTAAATAAATTAGGTATTGATGGGACGTATTTCAAAATAATAAGAGCTATCTATGACAAACCCACAGCCAATATCATACTGAATGGGCAAAAACTGGAAGCATTCCCTTTGAAAACTGGCACAAGACACGGATACCCTCTCTCACCACTCCTATTCAACATAGTGTTGGAAGTTCTGGCCAGGGCAATTAGGCAGGCGAAGGAAATAAAGGGTATTCAATTAGGAAAAGAGGAAGTCAAATTGTCCCTGTTTGCAGATGACATGATTGCATATCTAGAAAACCCCATCGTCTCAGCCCAAAATCTCCTTAAGCTGATAAGCAACTTCAGCAAAGTCTCAGGATACAAAATCAATGTACAAAAATCACAAGCATTCTTATACACCACCAACAGACAAACAGAGAGCCAAATCATGAGTGAACTCCCATTCACAATTGCTTCAAAGAGAATAAAATACCTAGGAATCCAACTTACAAGGGATGTGAAGGACCTCTTCAAGGAGAACTACAAACCACTGCTCAAGGAAATAAAAGAGGATACAAACAAATGGAAGAACATTCCATGCTCATGGGTAGGAAGAATCAATATCGTGAAAATGGCCATACTGCCCAAGGTAATTTACAGATTCAATGCCATCCCCATCAAGCTACCAATGACTTTCTTCACAGAATTGGAAAAAACTACTTTAAAGTTCATATGGAACCAAAAAAGAGCCCGCATCGCCAAGTCAATCCTAAGCCAAAAGAACAAAGCTGGAGGCATCACACTACCTGACTTCAAACTATACTACAAGGCTACAGGAACCAAAACAGCATGGTACTGGTACCAAAACAGAGATATAGATCAATGGAACAGAACAGAGCCCTCAGAAATAACGCCACATATCTACAACCATCTGATCTTTGACAAACCTGAGAAAAACAAGCAATGGGGAAAGGATTCCCTATTTAATAAATGGTGCTGGGGAAACTGGCTAGCCATATGTAGAAAGCTGAAACTGGATCCCTTCCTTACACCTTATACAAAAATCAATTCAAGATGGATTAAAGACTTAAACGTTAGACCTAAAACCATAAAAACCCTAGAAGAAAACCTAGGCATTACCATTCAGGACATAGGCATGGGCAAGGACTTCATGTCTAAAACACCAAAAGCAATGGCAACAAAAGACAAAATTGACAAATGGGATCTAATTAAACTCAAGAGCTTCTGCACAGCAAAAGAAACTACCATCAGAGTGAACAGGCAACCCACAAAATGGGAGAAAATTTTTGCAACCTACTCATCTGACAAAGGGCTAATATCCAGAATCTACAATGAACTCAAACAAATTTACAAGAAAAAAACAAACAACCCCATCAAAAAGTGGGCGAAGGACATGAACAGACACTTCTCAAAAGAAGACATTTATGCAGCCAAAAAACACATGAAAAAATGCTCATCATCACTGGCCGTCAGAGAAATGCAAATCAAAACCACAATGAGATACCATCTCACACCAGTTAGAATGGCAATCATTAAAAAGTCAGGAAACAACAGGTGCTGGAGAGGATGTGGAGAAATAGGAACACTTTTACACTGTTGGTGGGACTGTAAACTAGTTCAACCATTGTGGAAGTCAGTGTGGTGATTCCTCAGGGATCTAGAACTGGAAATACCATTTGACCCAGCCATCCCATTACTGGGTATATACCCAAAGGACTATAAATCATGTTGCTATAAAGACACATGCACACGTATGTTTATTGCGGCACTATTCACAATAGCAAAGACTTGGAACCAACCCAAATGTCCAACAATGATAGACTGGATTAAGAAAATGTGGCACATATACACCATGGAATACTATGCAGCCATAAAAATTTATGAGTTCATGTCCTTTGTAGGGACATGGATGAAATTGGAAATCATCATTCTCAGTAAACTATCGCAAGAACAAAAAACCAAACACCGCATATTCTCACTCATAGGTGGGAACTGAACAATGAGAACACATGGAGACAGGAAGGGAAACATCACACTCTGGGGACTATTTTGGGGTGGGGGGAGGGGGGAGGGATAGCATCGGGAGATATACCTAATGCTAGATGACGAGTTAGTGGGTGCAGCACACCAGCATGGCACATGTATACATATGTAACTAACCTGCACAATGTGCACATGTACCCTAAAACTTAAAGTATAATAAAAAAAAATATTTTGATCAGGGTGGGCTTCTGAACATCAAGTAATAAAGTTTTTACTCACTTAAAAAAAAAAAAAGGAAATTTTGCCATTTGTGAACACTTGAGTGAATTTGGAGGACATTACACTAACTGAAATAAGCAAACACAGAAAGACAAATACTGCAAGATCTGTTGATATGTAGAATTAAAATATTCAAACTCACAGAAAGTATAAATGTGGTTATCAGGACTTAAGGGATGAGAGAAATGGAAAGATTTTTATTAAAGGGTGCAAACTTTAAGTTACAATATGAGTAAGTTCTTGGTACCTAGTATATAGCATGGTGACTACAGATAATAATAATAATATATTATCTACTTGAAATTTACTAACAGAATAGATCTTAAGTATTCTAAATACCAAAAAGAAAAAGTGAGATGATGAGTGTCATAATTAGCTTGATAGTGGTAATCATTTCACAATGTATATCAGAACATCATATTGTATACCTTAAATATACACAGTTATTATTTGTCCACTTATATCTAAATAAATCTGGGAAAATAAAATATAAAATAGCATTAAACTATGCATTTAAATTAAAAATAAAAGAAAATTTAACAATTCAAAACTATGAGGATATATATTTAGATTACCTATAATCTCACTACTAAGAGACAAATTGTTTTAACATTATGTTATACTCTCTGCTATACTTTTTTCTTTGGCTACTTTAAGTAAATTAATTACACATATTTACACAAATGTGGCTTCCTACTTAGTTCTCTCATTATTACATTCATGAAATTTATATTATGCTTTACAACTTTTGTAGACATTAGTTTAAGTCAACATATTATATATCCATTTGTCATTCTTGTATTAAGATGTTTTAATTTTTATTATTATAAATAGTACATAAACGAGTGAATTATTACATAAACATTTGTGTATTTAGAATTTTTTCTGAACTAAAGTATGTAGACGTAGAAGGTATTCATGTACACTCATTCTGAAGTTAAGAAGGGTTGACCTAGAACAATAATAAACTAGAAATAGTCTTTTATTTTGAACTAAAATAACTGGACACACAAATTCAATGATTTTAACTGATGTAATTGGGACAACAGTTATTGTATTAAAATTTTTGTAAGAAGCAAAGGAGGTTGTGTTTGTGAATGTACGTTGTAGCCTATAAATATGCATAACAGTTCTGATTATTATTTGCAACAATTAAACATGTAGTTTTATGGACCAACTGAAGTGGATGCTAATAATTTCATGTTGCATCAGCATCCACTTTGAATATAGGTTTAGCCTGCTCATGTCAAGGCTTAGTCACCCTTGACACAATTTCCAGTTTTACACCATACCCAAATGTTTCAAACTGGTGGTCAGAGATAAAAACTTAGGCATCTCTTCTGCCTAGCAGACTTCTGCCTAGCAGACTCCCTGCTTTTCTGTTGCTTCCTTTAAAGGTTCCTTATAGGCGTTCGCCCATAAACTTAAACTGACCTACATCCTATTCTCCAATGCATACTGCTAGTTTTCACATGTCTTCTCTCTTCCACGTGATTCCTGACCTCCCTGTGTGGCCTCTGGGCGTGACTTGTATCTCCCACGATCTGTAAATACTAAACACTCTTGAGCTTTCACATTGTGGTTTTATCACTAAAGTTTTCAGTCTGAAGCCCGAATGCAAGGCCATGTGGAAGAACCCTTACAGGTGAATCCCGTGTGGCAGCTCTTCTATCTGGCCTCTGGTGGCTGCTGAGAACAGTAGCTACCAGCTAAGTTATCATATACCAATGAAGGCTTAGGACAAATCATTTATTTGAAGACAAATATGTACTATGAGAGTATACAGTTCTGTGCTTCAGGTGTGAAATTTAATGCTGCAAAATGGGTAAGTTTGTTTTCTAAAAAGAATGAAAGTCTTGCTTACATAAGATATTCCTATTCATGAGTTTATTACCTGCTCTCTTTGCTTTTGATGTCAAATAATTACATAAGTTTGAATTCAACAATCCCCAATTTAAAATATAATTATAAAGCTATCTGAATATTATTTTGAAATTCAATTGGACTGTACAAGAATAGATACACAGGAATTATTTTAAATGACAGTAAGGAGATTTCTGAGGCCCTTTCACATGAAGGTTCTATCTTGAACCAGCAAATTTAGCCCAGCCATCCCCTAAACTTCTTGTGTACTATATTTATAACAGCCTCAGACTAACAGCCTTCCATTACTTTTACTGTATTGACCACCTCCCTAAGAAAGATAACAGAAATTGACTTTTAAATTAGACTCAGAAGAACCAGGGATCTTATCCAGTAATTCCAAGTATTTCAAGTATAATTGTGAGGCATGGGCAAAGCAGAGAGAGATGCAGGATTGCCAGTGTTGCACTCCCAGGTTTTTCTTGCCACATTAGGATGCTCTTTGACTCAGAAGTAACATATTAGTTTTCTAAGTAACATATATAGCCATATTGCTTATATAAAAGGCAGCTATTTTGGTTGTGAAACATCTCTCTCCAATACTTTGAGAGTTTATGTGAAATATTTCAGGAAGTTATGTCCCATAAATACAGATTCCAGGATTGTATAAGTAAAACTTGACAGAACAAGTACATCCTGCTAAAAGACTTTCACAGATACATGTTCTCTCACAAACAAATTACATTAGTGTGTCAAGAGGTCTATCAATAGCATGTTTTCAAGGAGATTTGACCAGCGAGAATTTTTTTAACCCTGTGTGTGTGCTAGTAAACGGCTGAGGTTCGAATTACCATTACTTCAGTGATTATTTATAGAATACTTACTCTGCACCAGAAATTATTCTACATGATTGTGATATAAGTATAGATAAGGTGAATGATATTGCTTGGCTGTGTCCCCATCCAACATCTCATCTTGAACTACAATCCCTATAATCCCCACATGTCAAGGGTTGGACCAGGTGGAGGTGATTGGAACATGGAGGTGGTTTTCCCCATGCTGTTCTTGTGATAATGAGTGACCCTCAGGAGATTTGATGATTTTATGAGTGTCTGGCATTTCCCTTGCTTACACTCACTCTGTCCTGCCACCCTATGAAGAAGGTGCTTGCTTCTCCTTTGCCTTCCACCATGACTAAGTTTCCTGTGGCCTTTCCAGCAATGTGGAACTGTGAGTCAATTAAACCTCTTTCCTTTATAAATTACCCAGTCTTGAGTATTTCTTCACAGCAGTGTGAGAATGGACTAGCACAGTGAGCAAGGTCGTTTCTCTTGTGGGCTTATATTCTAAGAGAAGGAGACATATAATAAGAAAATAATTGCAAATTGCAACTTATGGTACATGCTATAAATGTGCAATAACAGCAAACTATGGAACATTCTATTAATACAATAAAATATAGTGATTTTAGAGAAACAGGGTGGAATGAATGCCGCATTAAGGAGTTGACTTAATACTTGAACGTTTGTTTACATAATTCATGCATAAATTGGAGCCCTGCCTTTAAAATTCACATAAACCAGTAGCTTTTATCCAAACAAAGCTTGCTTCTATTAATGAGTACCCTAGCCACTGACTATCATCCTTCTTCCAATATTTTATTGCAAAAATCATTGAACTGCAAGTCCAACTTAATTCAAGAATTGTCTAATATCTCCAATTCTACTAAATTCCAAACAATAGGCTAAGCTCTTGAGATGAAACTGGAGTTCATAAAGCCCTTTTATATATCACATACTGAACTTAGGCCCACTCATCTTGGGGACAATAGCCACAGTAGGCTCCCAGTTTTCTCCTCCACATTTACTCAATTGTTCAAAGTTATTAAGGTTGCAATTACAATTATTTGAAATTGAAGTTCTATTATCCTGAATTATAGCAAACAAATATATAGATTAGTCTATAAAATGTTTACAAATCCTTAGAAACAGTGAAGTGAAATATAATACTGATAATTATCTAAAGGTGATCACACATAATCCTAAAGACAGCTGCAGAGCCAGTTTGTAGTAAAAGGTCACTTTTCTCACTTAAAATTGGGCAACTCCAACATTGGTGAACCATTTTCAGTCTTTAAGGTAGGCTTAACTGTCTTTTTGTAAATGTTCATTCCTCTAGCCGTAGGTCTTAGGAAATACCATAGTTTGAGGGAAAATATTGCTAAACTAATAAGTTCAACTTTAAGTACAAAAAAATAAAAGAAAAGTATAGATGGAAAGTCATAAACGTTCTCTTTCAGTCACATTACATAGACTTCATTATGAAATAACATTGGCTCTAACTTCCCAATATATCACAATTCCATTCATTTCTTACTACCTCCACCACTATTTCCACACATCAATTCACCATCGCCTAGCATCTAACTTCGATCATCTACTGGACTCCTTACAGCCACGTTTAGTTCCTTATACTCAACTTCTCATACAGCTGATGTTTGACTCTTTCATAAAAACTGTTTTATTAAAACAAATTCTAGGCCAAGCATGGTGGTTCATGCCTGTAATCCCAGAATTTTGGGAGGCTAAGGCGGGCAGATCACCTGAGGTCAGGAGTTTGATACCAGCCTGGTCAGCATAGTGAAACCCCGTCTCTACCAAAAATACAAAAATTTAGTGGGATGTGGTGGCACGAGCCGAGCCTGTGGTTCCAGCTACTCAGGAGGCTGAGGTGGGAGAATCGCTTGAGCCTGGGAGGCAGAGGTTGCAGTGAGCCAAGAACATGCTACTATACTCCAGCCTGGGCAACACAGTGAGACCCTGTCTCCAAAAAAAGAAAGAAAAAGGAAGGAAGGAAGGAAGGAAGGAAGGAAGGAAGGAAGGAAGGATCAACTATATACAAACAACCAAAAATGGTATAATGAAATCCAAGTATTCATCAGTCAGCTTCAACAATTATCAATATTCTGCCATTCCCATCTAATCCTTACTCCTTACCTGATAATTATAATAATGAAAACAATATTTATTGTTTCATTTTACAGTTATTTTATGGAGGTAAAGATTGTGTATCTTCCCTATTGCAAAAGCTGGAACTTGACCTTAAGCTATTCTCTTCCTATTGCCTTGTCATTGAAAGATGATGCAATGAGGCTTCTGTTTTCAAAATTATCCACATGGAAAGCAAATATATATGACAAATTCCAGGACACACATCACATTTTCAGTTTCTCTTAACAGTTTTCATACTGCATCACTCAGGTTCCATGCAGCACAGAGGCCACCATTCTGAAGTAAAGTGAGTGATATGCCTCTTTTTCCAGGGGAAACTCCAAACTTTATGAATAATTCTCCTAAGGGCTCTCTTAATGCTCTGAGGAATTTCTCACCTTTTGCCCAACAAAGATGAGAAATGCAATGCCCTCTACCTCATACATAGAACAGACAAAAAAGACAACAGTTCTCAAAGTGTACATCATTCCTTAAGAAAGCTACCACTGCTTCAGATAGTTTTGAAGTGTTGCTTTTTAGTCCCCAAATTTAAACTTTATAGAATGAATGTTCCATCGCTAAAAAAAAATTGACTAATAAATCATGTACTTATACTTCATATAATTCACAAAGGCCAGTCTACAATATATTGTATTTACTTAAGATGAGGAATATTTGAGGGTATGTTCTAGTTAAGCTTTGCCAGTTCCTTTAAAGAAAAAAGAAAATTGTTTTACCTTTCTTTAAGGAGGAAAGGAAGCCGGGGAAGTGAAGGAGCCAGCACTATTAGGATAAAATTAAAGAAAAAGAAATACAGTCTATTACAGGAGAAAAAATGCACTGACAGTGAAATCTATCATGTTGTTGAGTAAGTCCCTGTGGACATAATAGGAACAGTATCTTCTAGATAATTAATGGTAGTGTGATCTTGTTGATAGGCCATATAAATGGGAATCATGAAAAAAGTTCTACTTTCAATTTTTTTACCTCTTTAGGACCCCACAGGAAAAAAAAAAAAAGACTTGAAACATTCATCTGAGTAACACAGTGCACTTGCCTTAGTATATTTATTTATCCCTGGTTACCCTTTGCAAACATGAAGAAATACCTCTGGATCTTACTTCTCAAACCTAGGACACAACAAATATATTTTTCTTCTTTGCCATTTCTGCAAAGTTTTAACTTTTGCTATGCTGGATTTAGCCAAAGGGGGTAAAATTAAACATAAATAGGTCAACATTTTAAAATTCTGTGGCATATGTAATATTAATAATTGCCTAACCTGATAAATGACATATGTCACCCATCATTAATCAGACTCTTTGTCATCTGAAATACTGTTAGATTATCTTCTCACATATTTAAGAAATAACTATTTTTATTTGTGCATTAGTCAATGTAAGCTAACTATTTTAACAAACAGTACTCAAATCACAGAGGCTTAACAAAATGAAGGTCTACTGCTTCCTCAATACAGTATGGTCTGCACAAGCGGTAAATGAGAAGGAATGATTTGCTTTATTGCAGTTATTCAGGACCCAGACTGTTCATCTTTTGATACCACTATGTATAGAAGAAAATAAAGTCAATAAAAAGTGGAAATTTATTTTTCCTATTGACCTGTAAGTGGCATACATTGCTTCTGTCCACATTTTATTGACTTGAACCATTACCATGGGCTGATATAGATAGTATTGGACTAAGATATGTATTACCAAAAATACACACATAAAATTATAAAAAAATGTTATAAGGAGAAATTCTCCCACTAGTAAGAAATTACACTAATGGCATGGGAAAACAAACATTTTGTCAATAAAACGTGAGTCCTCAATTTGCAATTTTGGAGCCCGTTTCTCTAGTTTACAGATAAAATGGACTAATTTTAATTCAATGCACATAGTAAATAAGAACTTGAACTTCTAGTGACATTTTTTAACTTAAAATCACAAAATATGGATATTATGCTTTTATTAAAATATTCTAATAGTTACTAAATGCACTGTCTTAAATCAGTGAATAAAAAGATCACCCAAAACCAAGATTCAAGATTTTAAGAATCTAGCATGTAAGACCAAAAGTTAGATCTTACATTATAACAATATGGTAAGTGCCCTATTAGAAATAGAAACAAGTGCTATGGAAACCTAGAAGATGTATTAATTCCGCCAAGGGTGGCCATGGTACCTGGGAGTGCCCAGGTATGTCTTTAGTTGGAAATGACACAATGGCCTGGCCTTTAAATATCAGTAAGATTTCACCAGAATATAAAGATAAAAAAGGCATTTTGGATGAGGAAAGAAATAATTTGAAACTGTGCTGTTTCATATCCAGTTAGGTTTAGAAATTTTGAGTACATTTCTGGATCTATAAATAATTTTCAATATATTATTACTATGCTTTTCAATCTTGATGGCGTGAGTACATGATTTCTGACCTATGGGATCTAGGGTATTTGCCTAGAAGTATGAATATTAAACTATAAATTTAGAGAGGAAAAATGAGATAATATTGAGTTTATAATATTCAAAAATATATTTTCTAGAAAGAAATTAATCTCTAGATTCCAGCATTTGTCTTGAAAAATAACTAAGTTATTTTTCATATCATGATGGACAGACTCATCAGGTGACACCCGCAATTCCCACCTTCCACCATTCTGCCCTGTGTGAGTGCCTCTCCTTGAGTGTAAATAGGACTTGTGACTTACTTCTAGAAAACAGAATGTAGTGAATACAGTGAGATGTATGCAATTAGTTGTATATAATTATGTAATTACATTACAAAGATTATAGCACCACACTTGCTGGAGTCTCTCTCCTTTATTGGCTTTGAGGAAGCAAGTGACCATGTTGGAAATCTACCTCAAAAGAAACTGTGGGTGGCTGCTAGGAGCTGAAGGCCCTCTCTAGTTCACAGTAAAACACTAAAGCCCTGAGTTGTACATATGTAATCAACTGAGTTATGCCAACAACCTGAGTGAGTTTTGGAGTGGATCCTCCCCAAGCCAAACCTCAGATGAGACTATAGCTTCAGCTGACACTATGGCTACAACCATTTAGAGCATTCGGGGAAGCTGTGCCTGAAATATTGACCCACAGAAGCCATGAGGTAATAAATATGTGTTGTTTTAAGCTGCTAAATTTGTGATAATAGTACTATGCTGCAGTAGGTAACCAATACACATGTCTAAGATAGACAGAATTTTGCATAAGTGAGGACCAAATACTCTGAGCAAGGGAGGAAACTGGCCCGATTCTCATCCCTGGAAGAATACGGGAAGAAAAAATAGCAAGGGATTGGAAAATGAAATAGTCATGCTTATGTGTCTGACTTACACCTTCAGCCAAGAAAAGGGGCTGTGCCTTATGTAAATAGGGTATAACTAAGACCACAAGACTCTACTTTCCTGTTTAATATTCTGTAAAGACATCACAGTTTAGCTTCTTTCTGCACTGGCCTAGGACAGGACCACATTAAGTTGATGCAACAATAAATCTAGGAAGGGGAAGGCTTTGAAATTAAACATTCCTCAGGTGTGCTCATTTAGCCAGGAGGTATAAGCCTTGATCTGAGAGCCAGAAAGCCTGCCATAGAATCTGCCAAGGCACAGCAAGTGGACCTCACAGAAGACGCCGGGATGGACAGCCAGGACAGACAGCTACATGAAGGATGACAGAGACTCAAATGCCTACAACCAGCTAGAGTGGAGATGAGGTTGGAACAAATAAAGGTAATTCCTGGTTTCTTATCAAGCCAAGAGATCTTACACTCTGATCTTCTGAGCTTTTCTCACCACTACCTTCAGAGGCAATTGCACACAGGACAATCAGCAACTGGGGATGAGGAAAGGAACATTGCTCAGGAGACCAGAATACATTCTTCAAGATCCTAAGTCAATTCCTTTATAAATCCCATAAATGCCTCACTGCTGTCTTCATGTATTTTTTTGGTATCTTAGAGAGAAAAGCGAGCAAGACAAAGAGACAATCAAAGGGAATACTCTTCCAGGACAATCTGAACAGCACTGATACATAAACTGGCTTAAATTATAAACCAGAACTAATAGTATTAAAAATAATTTTCAAGGAAAAAGATGATCAACAGACACCAAGATGACAAACATGTTGGAATTACTAGAAGCAAAGACTTTAAAATAGCCATTGGAAACATCTTCCAAGACATAAAAGTGAACAGTATTGAAATGAATGGTTTAAAAAGAAGGCATGTAAATCTCCTTTACCATAACTTGGAGAAAATACTTAGCAATTAATTTAAAAAAATTCTTGTATAATTCTGAAACTGCAAAATGCTGATAAAGACATTTTTAAAACCCACATACTTGGAAAGATACTCCATTTTCATGAATTTTAAGACTCAGTATAATAAAGGCATCATTTCCTTACCAATTAGTCAATAGATTTAATGCATTTTCATTCAAATCTAACAGGGATTTTTTTGTAGATATACACAAGTAGATTCTAAACTGTATATGAAAAGGAAATGAAACTAAACATAGGATACAATTCTGAAAAAAGAATAAAATTGGAGAACTCTCAGTATACAATTTTAACACTTAAAGCTAAACAATACAGAGTGGTACTGGTAAAGTGAAAGACATATAGTTCGTGGAAACTGAAGAGAGTGCAGAAATTGTCTCACAAACTACAGACTGGAAGAAAACATTTGTAAATCACGTATATGACTAAGATCTTGTATCCCGAATACAAGAAGAACCCTCAAAACGCTACAGTAAGAAAACAAACAACCCTGTCCCGCAAATGGGCAAACACACATTTCACCAAAGACATAACAATGGCAAATAAGTACATGAAAAGATTCTCAACATCATTAGCTATCACATCCATAAATGCAAATTAAAACCACAATTACACAGTACTCTGCACCTATTAGAATGCCTAATATTTTTTACAAATTGCTAGACAAAATATAAAACAACTAGCATATTGATTCATTGCTGATGCCAATATGAAATGGTGTAAACACAATGAATATAGTGTAGAAGTTTCTCATTCAGGTAAACATACATTTACCATTTGACCTGGTCATCCCACTCCTAGGACTACTTCCATCTAAGTACAACACACTAACTGATTGTACTAGTGTAGCTTCATTTCTCTAGACAAATAATTTTTTTTCACAAACTATATACAAGCTAAAATCTAGAAACTGCCAAAAATCTAGAAATAACTTCCATGTACTTCAAAGGACAAATGGATAAACAAACTGTTTTTTACATCCTTACAACGAACACTATTCAGCAATTAAAATGAACAAATTATTGATACATGTAACAAATTAATGAATCTCAAAGGTATTAGACTGAGTGAAAGAAGCTAGTCCCAAATCCTGTATATTATATGATTCCATTTATATAACATTCTAGAAAAGGCCACACTTCAGGGACAGGAAACCAATCACCAGTTACAGGGTCTATCTCACCATAAAGGGGAGGACATGTGAGAATTGTTCTACGTCCTTTTTGTGTTGGTGGTTACACGTATCTGTAAACTGTTAAAACTCATGAAACTGTATACTTACAAAACTTCATTTTTGCTGTAACTACATTTTAAATAATTTTAAAACTCAAGTAGTCTATCTAGATGTTTTCTGAGTTTCTTAACCTAAATGATACAATAACAACAAGAAAAATAACTACAACACTTGTAGCAGTTACTATGTACTAGGCATTTTCTAAGCAAACTTATATTGATTAACTCATTTAATCATCACAATATTTATTTGAGGTAGGTTCTGTTATTATTTCTACTTTTCAGATAAAGATATGGTAAGAAGAGGTTTGTATTAGTCCATTCTTACACTGCTATAAAGAACTATCTGAGACTGGGTAACTTATGAAAAAATAGGTAGAATGGACTCACAGTTGTGCAGGCTCAACAAGAAGCATGACTGGCAGGCCTCAGGATACTTATGATCATGGCAGAAGGTGAAGGAGAAGCAAACACATCTTAATATGGCAGAGTAGGAGAGAGAAAGAGCAAAGGGGGAAGTGCCACACACTTTTAAACTATCAGAAAACTCACTCACTGTCATGAGAACAGCAAAGGAGAAGTCTCCCCCATGATCCAATCACCTCCCACCAGGCCACTCCTCTGACGTGTGGGGATTACATTTCAATGTGAGATTTGGGTAGGGACACAGAGCCAAACCATATCATTCTGCCCCTGACCCCTCCCAAATCTCACGTTCTTTCACATTTTCAAATCAATCATGCCTTCCCAACAGTCTCCTAAAGTCTTAACTGATTCCAGTATTAAGTCAAAAGTCCAAGTCCAAAGAAAGTCCCTTCTGGCCAGGCACGGTAGCTTATGCCTGTAATCCCAGTACTTTGGGAGGCCAAGGCAGGCAGACCTAGAGGTCAAGAGATTGAGACCATACTGGCCAACATAGTGAAACCCAGTCTCTACTAAGAATACAAAAATTAGCTAGGCATGTGGCACGTGCCTGTAATCCCAGCTACTCTGGAGGCTGAGGTAGGAGAATCACTTGAACCCAGGAGGTGGAGGTTTCAGTGAGCCAAGATCGTGCCACTGCACTCCAGTCTGGTGACAGAGCGAGACTCTGTCTCACAAAAAAAAAAAAAAAAAAAAAAGTCCCTTCCACCTATGAACCTGTAAAATAAAAAACTAGTTACTTCCAAAATACAATGGGGGTACAGGCACTGGGTAAATACTCTCATTCCAAAAGGGATAAATTGGCCAAAACAAAGGGCCTACAAGCCGTATGCAAATTTCAAACCCAGCAGGGCAGTCATTAAATCTTAAAGCTCCACAATAATCTCCTTTGACTCCATGTCTCACATCTAGGGCATGTTGAGTACAAGGGGAGGGTTCCAATGGCCTTAGGCAGCACTAACCTGTGGCTCTGCAAGGTACAGCCCCCACATCTGCTTTCATGATCCACAGATGTCTAGAGTAGGGGCACAATGCCACCAGTCTCTTTGCTAAAGTATAGCAAGGGTGACCTTTACTCCAGTTCCCAGTAAGTTCCTTATCTCCACTGGAGACCTCTTCAGCCTGGACTTCCTTGTCCATATTACTATCAGCATTTTGGTCAAAACCATTTACAAGTCTCTAGGAAGTTGCAAACATTCCTGCATTTTCCTGTCTTCTTCTGAGCCCTCCAAACTATTCCAACCTCTGCCCATTACCCAGTTCCAAAGCCACTTCCACATTTTCAGGTGTCTTTATGGCAGTGCCCACTCTCCTGGTACCAATTTTCTGTATTAGTTCGTTCTGTCACTGCTATAAATAACTACCTGAGACTAGGTAATTTATGAAGAAAAGAGGT
Organism: Homo sapiens; assembly: GCF_000001405.40. NCBI lineage: Eukaryota > Metazoa > Chordata > Mammalia > Primates > Hominidae > Homo > Homo sapiens. The sequence continues at coordinate 102,135,507 of NC_000009.12, read as the reverse complement.
TTAATTAACTCGCAGTTCCACAGACTTAACAGGAAGCATGGGTGGGAGGCATCAGGAAACTTATGATTATGGTGGAAAGCGAAGAGGAAGCAACAACATCTTAACATAGTGGAGCAGAAGAGAGAGAGAGAAAAAAAGGGGGAAGTGTCACACACTTTTAAACCATCAGATCTTGTGATAACTCATTCACCATCACGAGAACAGCAAGTTGGGCTCCTTCTCATGGTAGCAAGATAATTGCCAACAACTCTTCACACTTTATGCTTACTCATTCATATCCAAATAAAAAGAAGGTCACTTTTGGAAGCCTTAATTGAAAAGTGAGATCAAGTGCAGTGGCTAATGCCTGTAATACCAGCACTTTGGGAAGCTGAAGCAGGCTGATGACTTGAGATCAAAAGTTTGAGACCAGCCAACAACAGCAGATAAGCACATGAAAAGATTCTAGGCCACTGGAACTGAATGAGACTGAAGCGCTCTCTATCTCTGGGTATTCCAATTTCATAAGGAAGTGAATATTTTTAAATGTTTTAGCATTTTTTTTTAAAAAATAGTTTTACATCATGTTCCAGGATACAAGTGCAGAATGTGTAGGTTTGTCACATAGGTATATGTGTGCCATGAGGGTTTGCTGAACCTATCCTCCCGTCATCTAGGTTTTAAGCCCAATGCATTAGCTATTTGTCCTAATGCTCTCCCTCTCCAGTAGCCCCCATCCCCCGACTGGCCCTGGTGTATGTTGTTCCCTTCCCTGTGTCCATGTGTTCTCATTGTTCAACTCCCACTTATGAGTGAGAACATGCCCAAGTCCAAAGCAAGTCCCTTCTACCTTGGTTTTCTGTTACTGCATTAGTTTGCTGAGGATGATGGCTTCCAGCTTCATCCATGTCCCCGCAAAGGACATGATTTCATTCCTTCTTATGGCTGCATAGTATTCCATGGTGTATATGTACCACGTTTTCTTTATCCAGTCTATCACTGATGGACATTTGGGTTGTTTCCAAGTCTTTGCTATTGTAAGTAGTGCTGCGATAAACATACAGGTATGTGTCTTTAGAGTAGAATGATTTATATTACTTTGGATATATTTCTAGTAATGGAATTGCTGGGGCAAATGGTATTTCTGGTCCTAGATCCTTGAGGAATCACCACACTGTCTTCCACAATGGTTGAACTAATTTACATTCCCACCAACAGTGTAAAAGTGTTCCTATTTCTCCACGGCCTCACCAGTATCTTGTTTCTTGACTTTTTATAATAGCCATTCTGACTGGCATGAGATGGTATCTCATTGTGGTTTTGATTTGCATTTCTCTAATGATCAGTGATGTTGAGCTTTTCTTCATGTTTGTTGACCGCATAAATGTCTTCTTTTGCAAAGTGTCTGTTCATATCCTTTGCTTACTTTTTGATGAGGTTGTTTTTTGCTTGTAATTTTGTTTAAATTCCTTGTAGATTCTGGACATTAGACCTTTGTCAGATGGGTAGATTGCAAAAATTTCTCCCATTCTGTAGGTTGCCTGTTCACTCTGATGATAGTTTCTTTTGGTGTGCAGAAACTCTTTAGTTTAATTATATTCCATTTGTCAATTTTGGCTTTTGTTACAATTGCTTTTGGCATTTTTGTCATGAAGTCTTTCCCCATACCTATGTCCTGACGGTATTTCCTAGGTTTTTTTCTAGGGTTTTTATGGTTTGGGTTTTACATTTAAGTCTTTAATCCATTTTGAATTAATTTTTGTGCAAGGTGTAAGGAAGGGGTCCAGTTTCAGTTTTCTGCACATGGCTAGTGAGTTTTCCCAGAACTATTTATTGAGTAGGAGATATTTTCCCCATGGCTTATTGTCCAGTTTGTCAAAGATCAGATGGTTGTAGATGTGTGGTGTTATTTCTGAGGTCTCTGTTTTGTTCCATTAGTCTATACGTCTGTTCTGGTACCAGTACCTTACTGTTTTTGTTACTGTAGCCTTGCAATATCATTTGAAGTCAGGTAGTGTGATGCCTCCAGCTTTGTTCTTTTTGTTTAGGATTGTCTTGGCTATATGGGCTCTTTTTTGGTGCTATATGAAATCTAAAGTAGTTTTTTCTAATTCTGTGAAGAATGTCAATGGTTGTTTGATGGGAATAGCAATGAATCTATAAATTACTCTGAGGATTATGGCCATTTTCACAATCTTGATTCTTCCTATCCATGAGGATGGAATGTTTTTTGAAATCCTGGCAGACACACAACAACAAAAAAGCTTCCGGCCAGTATTCCTGATGAACATTGATGCGAAAATCCTCTACAAATTACCAGCTAACTGAATCCAGCAGCACATAAAAAAGTTTATCCACCACAGTCAAGTACGCTTCATCCCTGAAATGCAAGGCTGCTTCAGCATATGCAAATCAATAAACGTAATCCATCACATAAACAGAACTAATGACAAAAACAGCATGATCATCTCGATAGATCCAGAAAAGGCCTCGATAAAATTCAACATCCTTTTATGTTAAGAACACTCAATAAACTAGGTATTGATGGAACCTATCTCAAAATAATAAGAGCTATTTATAACAAACCCATAGTCGATATCATACTGAATGTGGAAAAGCTGGAAGCATTTCCTTTGAAAACTAGCACAAGACCTAGCATCGACAGTCTTTACAATTTGGCATGTTATTGCAGTGGCTGGTACCAGTTTTTCCTTTCCATGTTTAGTGCTTCCTTCAGGAGCTCTTGTAGGGCAGGCCTGGTGGTGACAAAATCTCTCAGCATTTGCTTATCTGTAAAGGATTTTATTTGTCCTTCACTTATGAAGCTTAGTTTGGCTGGATTTGAAATTCTGGGTTGAAAATTCTTTTCTTTAAGAACTTTGAATATTGGCCCCCACTCTCTCCTGGCCTGTAGAGTTTCTGCCAAGAGATCAGCTGTTAGTCTGATGGGCTTCCCTTTGTGGGTAACCTGACCTTTCTCTCAGGCTGCCCTTAACATTTTTCCCTTCCTTTCAACTTTGGTGAATCTGACAATTATGTGTCTTGGAGTTGCTCTTCTCGATGAGTATCTTTGTGGCATTCTCTGTATTTCCTGAATTTGAATGTTGGCCTGCCTTGCTATGTTGGGGAAGTTCTCCTGGATAATATCCTGCAGAGTGTTTTCCATCTTGGTTCCATTCTCCCCATCACTTTCAGGTACACCAATCAGATGTAGATTTGGTCTTTTCACATAGTCTCATATTTCTTGGAGGCTTTGTTCATTTCTTTTTATTCTTCTTTCTCTAAACTTCTCTTCTCGCTTCATTTCATTCATTTGATCTTCAATCACTGATACCCTTCTTCCAGTTAATCAAATAGGCTACTGAAGCTTGTGCATTTGTCACGTAGTTCTTGTGCCATGGTTTTCAGCTCCATCAGGTCCTTTAAGGACTTCTCTGCATTGGTTATTCTAGTTAGCTATTCGTCTAATCTTTTTTCAAGGTTCTGAACTTCTTTGTGATGGGTTCGAACTTCCTCCTTTAGCTTGGAGAAGTTTGATCATCTGAAGCTTTCTTCTCTCAACTCGTCAAAGTCATTCTCCATCCAGCTTTGTTCCAATGCTGGTGAGGAGCTGTGTTCCTTTGGAGGAGGAGAGTTGCTCTGATTTTTAGAATTTTCAGTTTTTCTGTTCTGTTTTTTCCCCATCTTTGTGGTGTTATCTGCCTTTGGTCTTTGATGGTGGTGATGTACAGATGGGGTTTTGGTGTGGATGTCCTTTCTGTTTGTGAGTTATCCTTTTAACAGTCAGGACCCTCAGCTGCAGGTCTTTTGGAGTTCGCTGGAGGTACACTCCAGACCGTTTGCCTGGGTATCAGCAGTGAAAGCTACAGAACAGCAAATATTGCTGAACAGTAAATGTTGCTGTCTGATTGTACCTCTGGAGGTTTCATCTCAGAGGGATACCTGGCCGTGTGAGGTGTCAGTCTACTCCTACTGGTGGGATGCCTCCCAGTTAGGCTACTCGGGGGTCAGGGACCCACTTGAAGAGGCAGTCTGTCCATTCTCAGATCTCAAACTCCATGCTGGGAGAACCTCTACTCTCTTCAAAGCTGTCAGACAGGGACACTTAAGTCTGCAGAGGTTTCTGCTGCCTTTTGTTAGCTATGCCCTGCCCCCAGAGGTGCAGTCTACAGAGGCAGGCAGGCCTCCTTGAGCTGTGGTTCCAGCTTCCCCACTGCTCTGTTTACCTACTCAAGCCTCAGCAATGGCGGGCGCCTCTCCCCTAGCCTCATTGCCACATTGCAGTTGGATCTCAAACTGCTGTGCTAGCAATGAGTGAGGCTCTGTGGACGTGGGACCCTCCAGGCCATGTGTGGGATATAATCTCCTGGTGTGCTGTTTGCTAAGACCATTGGAAAAGCACAGTATTAGGGTGGGAGTGACGATTTTCCAGGTGCCCTGTGTCACAGCTTTGCTCGGCTATGAAAGGGAATTCCCTGAACCCTTGTGCTTCCCCGGTGAGGCAATGCCTCAACCTGCTTCAGCTCACACTCCGTGCGCTGCACCCACTGTCCTGTACCCACTGTCTGACAAGCCCCAGTGAGATGAACCCAGTAGCTCAGTTCGAAATGCAGAAATCACTCGTCATCAACTAACGAACAAAATAACCAGCTAACATCATAATGACAGGATCAAATTCACACATAACAATATAAACATTAAATGTAAATGGGATAAATGCCCCAATTAAAAGACACAGACTGGCAAATTGGATAAAGAGTCAAGACCCATCAGTGTGCTGTATTCAGGAAACCCATCTCAAATGCAGAGACACACATAGGCTCAAAATAAAGGGATGGAGGAAGATCTACCAAGCAAACAGAAAGCAAAAAAAGGCAGGGGTTGCAATCCTAGTCCCTGATAAAACAGATTTTAAACCAACAAAGATCAGAAGAGACAAAGAAGGACAGTACATAATGGTAAAGGGATCAATTCAACAAGAAGAGCTAACTATCCTAAATATATATGCACCCAATACAGGAGAACCCAGATTCATAAAGCAAGTCCTTAGAGAACTACAAAGAGACTTAGACTCCCACACAATAATAATGGGAGACTTTAACACCCCAATGTCAACATTAGACAGATCAACGAAACAGAAAGTTAACAAGGATATCCAGGAATTGAACTCAGCTCTGCACCAAGCAGACCTAATAGACATTTACAGAACTGTACACCCCAAATCAACAGAATATACATTTTTCTCAGCACCACATAATACTTAATTCTAAAATTGAACACATAGTTGGAAGTAAAGCACTCCTCAGCAAATGTAAAAGAACAGAAATTATAACAAACTGTCTCTCAGACCACAGTGCAATCAAACTACAACTCAAGATTAAGAAACTCACCCAAAACCACTCAACTACATGGAAACTGAACAACCTGCTCCTGAATGACTACTGGGTACATAACAAAATGAAGGCAGAATAAAGATGTTCTTTGAAACCAACGAGAACAAAGACACAACATACCAGAATCTCTGGGACACATTCAAAGCAGTGTGTAGAGGGAAATTTATAGCACTAAAGGCCCAAAAGAGAAAGCAGGAAAGATCTAAAATTGACACCCTAATATCACAATTAAAAGAACTAAAGAAGCAAGATCAAACACATTCAAAAGCTAGCAGAAGGCAAGAAATAACTAAGATCAGAGCAGAACTGAAGGAGATAGAGACAAAAAAAAAAAAACCCCTTCAAAAAATCAATGAATGCAGGAGCTGGGTTTTTGAAAAGGTCAACAAAATTGATAGACCACTAGCAAGACTAATAAAGAAGAAAAGAGATAAGAATCAAATAGACACAATAAAAAAATGGTAAAGGGGATATCACCACTGATCCCACAGAAATGCAAACTACCATCAGAGAATACTATAAACACCTCCTTGAAAATAAACTAGAAAATCTAGAAGAAATGGATGAATTCATCAACACTTACATCCTCCCAAGACTAAACCAGGAAGAAGTTGAATCTCTTAATAGACCAAAAAGAGGCTCTGAAATTGAGGCAATAATTAATAGCTTACCAACCAAAAAAAGTCCAGGACCAGACAGATCACAGCAAAATTCTACCAGAGGTACAAGGGGGAGCTGGTACCATTCCTTCTGAAACTATTCCAATCAATAGAAAAAGAGGGAATCCTCCCTAACTCATTTTATGAGGCCAATATCATCCTGATACCAAAGCCTGGCAGAGACACAACAAAAAAAAAGAGAATCTTAGACCAATATCCCTGATGAACATCGATGCAAAAATCCTCAAAAAAATACTGGCAAACCGAATCCAGCAGCACATCAAAAACTTATCCACCATGATCAAGTGGACTTCATCCCTGGGATGCAAGGCTGGTTCAATATACACAAATCAATAAATGTAACCCGGCATATAAACAGAACCAAAGACAAAAACCACGTAATTATCTCAATAGATGCAGAAAAGGCTTTTGACAAAATTCAACAGCCCTTCATGCTAAAAACTCTCAATAAATTAGGTATTGACGGGACATATCTCAAAATAATAAGAGCTATTGATGACAAACCCACAGCCAATATCACACTGAATGGGCAAAAACTGGAAGCATTCCCTTTGAAAACTGGCACAAGACAGGGATGCCCTCTCTCACCACTCCTATTCAACATAGTGTTGGAAGTTCTGGCCAGGGCAATTAGGCAGGAGAAAGAATTAAACGGTATTCAGTTAGAAAAAGAGGAAGTCAAATTGTCCCTGTGTGCAGGTGACATGATTGTATATTTAGAAAACCCCATTGTCTCAGCCCAAAATCTCCTGAAGCTGATAAGCAACTTCAGCAAAGCCTCAGGATACAAAATCAATATGCGAAAATCAAAAGCCTTATTATACACCAATAACAGACAGAGAGTCAAATCGTGAGTGAACTCCCATTCGCAATTGCTTCAAAAAGAATAAAATACCTAGGAATCCAACTTACAAGGGACATGAAGGACCTCTTCAAGGAGAACTACAAACCACTGCTCAATGAAATAAAAGAGGATACAAACCAATGGAAGAACATTCCATGCTCATAGATAGGAAGAATCAATATTGCGAAAATGGCCATACTGCCCAAGGTAATTTACAGATTCAATGCCATCCTCTTCTAGCTACCAATGACTTTCTTCACAGAATTGGAAAAAAACTACTTTAAAGTTCATATGGAACCAAAAAAGAGCCTGCATTGCCAAGTCAATCATAAGCCAAAAGAACAAAGCTAGAGGCATCATGCTACTTGATTTCAAACTATACTACAAGGCTACAGTAAACAAAACAGCATGGTACTGTTACCAAAACAGAGATATAGACCAATGGAACAAAACAGAGCCCTCACAAATAATACCACACATCTACAACTATCTGATCTTTGACAAAACTGACAAAAACAAGAAATGTGGAAATGATTCCCTATTTAATAAATGGTGCTGGGAAAACTGGCTAGCCATACGTAGAAAGCTGAAACTGGATCCCTTCCTTACACCTTACACAAAACTTAATTCAAGATGGATTGAAGACTTAAATGTTAGACCTAAAACCATAAAAACACTAGAAGAAAACCTAGACAATACCATTCAGGACATAGGCATGGGCAAGGACTTCATGTCTAAAACACCAAAAGCAATGGCAACAAAAGCCAAAATTGACAAATGGGATCTAATTAAACTCAAGAGCTTCTGCACAGCAAAAGAAACTACCATCGGAGTGAACAGGCAACCTATAGAATGGGAGAAAATTTTTGCAATCTCCTCATCTGACAAAGGGCTAATATCCAGAATCTACAAAGAACTCAAACAAATTTACAAGAAAAAAAACAACACCATCAACAAGTGGGCAAAGGATATGAACAGACACTTCTCAAAAGAAGACATTTATGCAGCCAACAGACACATGAAAAAATGCTCATCATCACTGGCCATCAGAGAAAGGCAAATCAAAACCACAATGAGATATAATCTCACACCAGTTAGAATGGCGATCATTAAAAAGTCAGGAAACAACAGGTGCTGGAGAGGATGTGGAGAAATAGGAACACTTTTACACTGTTGGTGGGACTGTAAAGTAGTTCAACCATTGTGGAAAACAGTGTGGCGATTCCTCAGGGATCTAGAGCTAGAAATACCATTTGACCCAGGCATCCCATTACTGGGTATGTACCCAAAGGATTATAAATCATGCTGCTATAAAGACACATGCACACGTATGTTTATTGCGGCACTATTCACAATAGCAAAGACTTAGAACCAACCCAAATGTCCAACAGTGATAGACTGGATTAAGAAAATGTGGCACATATACACCATGGAATACTATTCAGCCATAAAAAATGATGAGATCATGTCCTTTGTAGGGACATGGATGAAGCTGGAAACCATCCTTCTCAGCAAACTATCTCAAGGACAAAAAACCAAACACCGCATATTCTCACTCATAGGTGGGAACTGAACAATGAGAACACGTGGACACAGGAAGGGGAACATCACACACCGGGGCCTGTTGTGGGGTGGGAGGAGAGGGGAGGGATAGCATTAGGAGATATACCTAATGCTAAATGACCAGTTAACGGGTGCAGCACACCAACATGGCACATGTATACATATGTAACAAACCTGCACGTTGTGCACATGTACCCTAAAACTAAAACTGTAATAATAAAAACAAAAGACTTGGAACCAACCCAAATGTCCATCAATGATAGACTGGATTTAGAAAATGTGGCACATATACACCATGGAATACTATGCAGCCATAAAAAATGATGTATTCATGTCTTTTGTTAGGAACATGGATGAAGCTGGAAATCATCATTCTCAGCAAACTATCACAAGGACAAAAAACCAAACACCGCATGTTCTCACTCATAGGTGGGAATTAAACAATGAGAACACTTGGACACAGGAAGGGGAACATCACACACCGGGGCCTGTTGTGAAGGGGGGGGGAAGGGGGAGGGATAGCATTAGGAGATATACCTAATGTAAACGACGAGTTAATGGGTACAGCACACCAACATCACACATGAACATATATGTAACAAACCTGCACGTTGTGTACATGTACCCTAGAACTTAAATTATAATTAAAAAATATATATATACATATATGAAAGAAAACTAGCACAAGACAAGGATGCCCTCTCTCACACTCCTGTTCAACATGGTATTAAAAGTTCTGACTAGGGCAATCAAACAAAAGAAGTAAATAAAGGGTATTAAAATATGAAGAGAGGAAATCAAATTGTCTCTGTTTGCAGATGACATGATTCTACATTTAGAAAGCCCCATCGTCTCAGCCCAAAAAATTTTTAAGGTGATAAGCAGCTTCAACAAAGTCTCAGGATACAAAAATCAAGGTGCAAAAATCACAAACATTCCTATACACCAACAAAGGACAAGCAGAGAGCCAAATCATGAATGAACTCCCATTCGTAATTGCTACAAAGAGAATAAAATACCTAGGAATACAGCTAACAAGGTATCTGAAGGACCTCTTCAAGGAGATCTACAAACCACTGCTCAAGGAAATAAGAGAGGGCATTTTGAAATTAAATTTTTTGTTTAACTGAAAATAGTATCAGAAGTTACACAAAAGGATCAAGGAATAATAGTATCATGTTTATTTTATGTATATAAAAATCATTTTATTGAATATTCCTCCACTGCCCTTTGCCATGGTAATGACTAGTTTCTGCAAACTAAATCAGATCAATCAGAATATTGATTTGGTTTGGTCATTTAATTTGCCCTGAATTCAGTGATTTCATGTTCTTTATCTTACAAGGAAAAAGCATGCCCATCTAGTGTTTCTGAAAACTGTGGTCTGTGTACTTCTTGTAACAAAATTATCAGTTTTGCTTACTAAAAACATAGATTGTAGGGTTTCCTTCCTAGATTATTTTAGAATACTTGAGGAATTTAAAGATTAAATTCTTTTTAATTTTCTTTTTTTGAAACAGAGTCTCACTCTGTCACCCAAGCTGGAGTGCAGTTGTGCGATCATGGCTCACAGCTCACTGCAGCCTCAACCTCCCAGACTCTAGCAATCTTCTTGCTTCAGCCTACTGAGTAGCTAGGACTGCAGGTGTGTGCCACCAAACCCAGCTAATTTTTTGCATTTTATTTTATTTTTTTTTTTTGTAGAGATGGGGTTTCGTTATGTTGGTCTCAAACTCCTAGGCTCAAACAATCCTCCTGCTTTGTCCTCCCCAGATGCTGGGATTACAGGCATGAGCCATGGTGCCTGGCTCATGTGATTCTTATAACAGTCCCCAAAGTTCTGATAGCCAGTAAAAAAACAGGTTCACAGTTCTCATTCTACTAAGACGTACTGTAGTTTTCAAAACTATGGACCACTTCTCTTTTTAGACTCCATCTGCCTAATTTCAAGGATGCCAAAATCTCCTCCCTGTGACTTCTCATCTGTCTCCCTTTGTTATTCCTCATCTGTCTCTGGCTCTAAAAATGAGGATACCCTGCCTGGGTAACAGAGCGAGACTTTATCTCAAGAAAATAAATAAATAAAAATAAAAATGAGGATAACTCGGTTGACAGTCTCACTGAGATTGTATTCAAAAAAAGAAAGAGTAGCTCCAAAGAAAATAAAAATAGGTCACTTATCAGAGGAAGAAAGAATAAGTGCTAGATAAGTAAAAACAAAAGATATTCCAATGTTTTTAAATTTATATATTTTATTTGGTAGTAATTATAGATTTACAGGAAGTTGCAAAGATAGTGAGACAGTCAGGTGGGAAGCACTCCCTGGCAAAACTCCAACCAGCCTGCACACTGGGTGCAGTGCGCACTGGGGTGGAGCCACAGAAGTTTGTCCCCATTTGCAGCAGGGAGGAGCCTGGCCCCGCCTTTTCCTGTGTGGAACCTGGGATTCCAACTGTGAGGCTGGAAGCACACCAGCAGGGACTCTGGCTTTGCAGAAGGTCTCTGTTTCCTCTTTCTGTCCTTTTCTCCCAATAAAACCCTGCCTCATTCACTTTTCAAATTGTCTGCGAGCCTAATCTTTAATGGCCATGTGATAAGGACCCCATCTTTAGCTGAACTAAGGAAATACAGCAACAATAGGACAGAGAGTCCCCTTGTACCTTTAAAAATGATTTTGTCTATATATCAAACTAACAGCTAGCATCAAAGTGAAAAATGAAACACAAGTTTAATTCTCATTAAAGTGAGATCACGAAATATTTACTCACTACCACCATTGATATTTATGATGGTTTGTAAGTGGATGACTACTAACACTAGATATTGAAATAAACTGTATAAATACTGAAACAAAGACAAAATTGTCATTTGATGGATTTTATTACTGTTGATCTTGAAATCCAGGAAAATATATTATGACACTCATAAATTTTATAATATTACAATATGAATGGTGCTCAGTAAATTTTCCGTTGAAATATACTTATAAAAACAAATAACTTTCTTATGTACTAACAATAAACAAAGGGGGAAAATATGGAAAGGAAGGATCTTCTTGTTAAACATAGAATTAAAATATATGAACCTTGCAAAGAAATGTGATGTACTTATATGAAAAAGCAAATTACAAATATTTTGAAAGATTGTAAATGAAGTATTAAACAGTTGGAGAGACAAAAATATTCCTAGATGGCAAAATTCAGAATTGTAATCTTCTCTAAAAATTAACATATAGTATAAAGGCTTTTTTATTTGAAGAGATTATCTTAAATATAACCCAGAACTATAAAGAAAATTATACAGCCTGAGATATTTTGAAGAAAGAGCAGCAATTAGAGTGAGGATGGATTTGGAAGCATAAAATAGGTTTATGATAGCAGATATTAGAATATACTGAAAACATACAGTTAAAACAGCATGATACAGCATTAGCTCTTCATACATTTATGACACAGGATGGAAATCTAAGGATGGCAAAAGCAAATTTTAGTATATTAGAAAATTTAGTGGAACTTAAGATTATTGATTAAAAGAAGAAAAAAATTGGTGGTTTGGCACTTGGCTATTTGGGAAGGAGAATTGCATCTATTTATCATACTTACAATACATCCTAGATAAGTGAAATATTCATGTGTAAAAATAAATAACCATAAAAATATCTGAAGAACAGAGAGCATAGATCTAGTAGTAGAATAGGTCTTATAATCAAAAATCTATAGAGAGAAACAATGTAGGAAAAGGTAATTAGAATTATTTCTAATTATTTCTAAAATATCGTATTCTTCAAATATGTTATTTATTAACATAAAAAAGTAAAAAGGCAAATTTCAAGTTGAGAAAGCTATGTTCAGTCTACTGATAGAAATTTAATGTATTTGTTACAGAAAAGCTCTTTCCAATTAGTATTCTGAAAGAGACAAAAAATAAAAAAGAAGCACAACAAATGCAAATATTCAACTTCAATGTTAATTGTTGTTTTTAATTTAACCGAAGTATCATTTTATCTCTATGAGTGCAAAAGCAGTCAATTTTATCTCAATATTCAGTGTTTGCTAGTAAAAACTGAACATTGTCTTATATCCATGGTGGTACTATAAATTGGAGAAAATAGTTTCTGGATATTAACTTGGTAATCTGCTTCAAGGAAATTTAAGGTAATCCTATCATTTAACCATCTCATTTTGTTTCTAGAAATTTACCCGATTTAATACCATCACATAAGTTTTATGGGTAATTATTAACATTATAGAATTGTTGTCTTTAATAGTGTATAAATGTTCAACTCCCACTTATGAGTGACAACCTGCAGTGTTTGGTTTTCTGTTCTTGTGTTAGTTTGCTGAGAATACATGGACACAGGGAGGGGAACATCACACACCGGGGCCTGTGGTGGGGTGGGAGTTAGAAGAGGGATAGCATTAGGAGAAATACCTAATGTTTATGACGGGTTGATGGGTGCAGTAAACCACCATGGCACGTGTATACCTATGTAACAAACCTGCACATTCTGCACGTGTACCCCAGAACTTAAAGTATAATAATTTTAAAAAAATTATATAAATGTAAGTCAACGCACTTTTCAAGTAACAGGACTTCAGATGATGGTGTCTATTTGGGCATTTGTGAAGCCTGAGCACTGAGTAATGTGACCTTGGACTGTATCATAGTTGTCCCCCAAATGTCATTCAGGTAGAGGCAAGAATCAGCAGCAGAAGTGACTGCAAAGCACTGAGCAGTAAAGCCCTTGCCCTATGTCCTGGCTCACACAGGGCCCAGGGTAAAATCCAAGAGAAAAGGAGAAAGGATTCAAAATAACATGTATTAAATGTCTGGCCAACCATAGTGAGTTGTCCTGTAGCCAGATATATTATGGTTTATAAAAATAAGGAAAAGTGTCATTTCTAATGTTCTGATTATCTTAGAACAATTTGTCCCTGGTAATTGTATTAGGCCTTTTGTTACTGTAAGTTCTTCCACAGCAGAGAGTGTTATTCAACTTTGGATTTTCCCATCTTGGCCTCTAGCAAAATAACAAGTACATAATTAAATTGATAAACCATATTGATTTGCCTGGAACCAAGGGGCTTTCCAGCATGTGGAACTTTCCATGCTAAAAGTTAATGGGTGCAGCACACCAACATGGCACATGTATACATATGTAACAAACCTGCACGTTGTGCACATGTACCCTAAAACTTAAAGTATAATAATAATAAAATTTTAAAAAAAAGAAAGTTTGGAGCGAACTGGGACAATTTTGTCACTTTTATTCCATTTAGAATTTTTTTAATTTGAAGGATGAAGGCTCTGAGGTACCTCCATTAAAAATAATAAAAGAGATTTTAGGATTGAAGGAAGAAATGAGGAACAGCAAAACAGACAGCACTGTTTTGTGCACAGCAGCTTTTGCAAAGATAGAAACCTATTCTCTGAAATGGGAAATGAAGTGGAGGAAGCAAGACAGAACATCCTGCCGGAGTGCATATGCCAGTATCCTGAGCAAAATCAGGGCTGAAAAACATGAATATTATAGGAAAGTGGTTCACACTAATATCTTTGCACATGCCCTTAGCTTTGTGAAATTGCTCTGTTAAAAGAGCCACCCTAAATATATATTATAGCTGTCAAAAACTGCTTTGCCTCATTTATGATTAGATATAAAGGAAAGCGGCAATGATTTCAAGTAAGATAAAGTTATAAGTAAACAATTTCATGTTGGAAAAATAATAGGATGGGATATTGTATTAATAGCATAAAGACTGCAAACTTCTTAAGGATAGAGGCCATATCTATTTCTTTTGTCACTGTATCCTCAATATCCTAGACAGAATAAGACTATTAGCAATAAAAAATTAAAATTCAGAGACATTTTTTAAGCACCTGCCCATGTTTGAAACTGGATGAGTGTAAAGATTATAGTTGGTAAGCAAGGAGATATATCTACCTGATTTAAAAAATAAACAGGAAATAAAAAACCTTTTTTATTTTCAAAATAAAATGCCTGTGTGTTTAATATTAAAGTAAGGATATAGAAAGCTTTATAGATGTGCCTAGGAATTAAGGAAAAGATTTTCATCCTTAATGGAGGATTTGTGTTGATCTATATTCAGCAGTAGAAAATGAAAACTTCTTTTTAATGTGTAGTTACTAAATGAAGTGTGAAGCTTCCCTTTCAGATTAATGCAAAAACAGTTCTTAAGGCTTAGTGCCAAAAGGAAGAAAATTAGTTTTGACTCACATATAACTTCTCTTCTGAAAATCAATGAAATAATGGAGGTGCAAGCAGTGTTAGGGAAATAAATAAGAGCACAGATTTTGTATAAACTAGTTAAAAATATGAAATAAAAACTGGGGAATGAGAGAAACTTCTTAATCTAAGAATTATCAAGCTTTAGAAAAGAAAAGAAAAACTGTGTCACTAAATGGCTTCAGGAAATAAAGTGCAACTTAAAGAAATACTCAAGTAACTCCCAGAAAACATTAGTAAACAAAAAATATGTTAGGGAACATCTGAAGAGAAGAAGATGTTTCTCTGGACCTCTCTTTGTTTTCCCGTTCTGCTGTTGCTGTAGACTAGATCTTTGTCTGATTACCTTTCTTTCACGAGCTCCTACCACCATTTTATCCTTTATCATTCTGAAATTTCCAAGGGGGCTTGCATAGTGAAATGCAGTCTTCAAAAATGTCTCCGTTTTTTCTCACTCCTAAAGATGAACACTAAACTTTTTGTTTGTGTGTGTGCATTTTGTTCTTTATCTGGAATTTAAACTCATTCATTATGGAAAAACTCAGACTTATGCAAACAACAAATCTGGTCACCTGGTATATCACACATAATTATCAGTATATTATACTTAAAGGAGCCTGATAAGATGGCATGCAAAATTTTAGTTAAATTTAGGACTTACTCTACCCACTTCCATAGGAACTTCTCTTTACTTTATCCGTGATGGAGATCCTTCTTCATATACTCAATCTCTAACCTGAAGAGTAAATCAAGTTTTGTAGGAGACTTTTTAGCAATCTTCTCTTCCTCTTGATACTGGAGGGATGCAGGGAAGTGCTGAGTAGAGAAGGGCGGGTCCCTGGCGAGGGCTCCACCCCAAGGCCTGTGCCTATGGACTTGGAGAGGACAGGCACTCCTGCCTTCTTGCCCAAATGTTTCATTTCCCAAGACTACCCTGGCCCACGATGCCCCCATCCTGTGTCTATAAAAACCCTGAGACCCTGCACGGCAAAATAAACTATCATCAGAGTGAATAGGCAACCTACAGAATGGGAGAAATTTTTTTCAATTTATTCATCTGACAAAGGGCTAATATCCAGAATCTACAAGGAACTTAAACAAATTTACAGGAAAAAAAAAAACCATCAAAAATTGGGCAAAGGATATGAACAGACACTTCTCAAAAGAAGACATTTATGTAGCCAACAAACATATATATATATATAGCTCATCATCACTGGTCATTAGAGAAATGCAAATCAAAACCACAATGAGATACCATCTCATGCCAGTTAGAATGGTGATCACTAAAAACTCAGGAAACAACAGATGCTGGAGAGGATGTAGAGAAATAGGTAAGCTTTTGCACTGTTGGTGGGGGTGTAAATTAGTTCAACCATTGTGGAAGGCAGTGTAGCAATTTCTCAAGGATCTAGAACCAGAAATACCATTTGACTCCGCAATCCATTACTGGGTATATACCCAAAGTATTGTAAATCATGCTACTATAAAGACACATGCACATGTATGTTTATTGTGGCACTATTCACAATAGCAAAGACTTGGAACCAACCCAAATGTCCATCAATGATAGACTGGATAACAAAAATGTGGCACATATACACCATGGAATACTATGCAGCCATAAAAAAGATGAATTCATGTCTTTGCAGGGACATGGATAAAACTGGAAACCATCGTTCTCAGCAAACTAACACAAGAACAGAAAACCAAACACTGCATGTTCTCACTCATAAGTGGGAGTTGAACAATGAGAACACATGGACGCAGGGAGGGGAACATCACACACTGGGGCCTGTTGGGGTGTGGGGGGCTACGGAAGGGATAGCATTAGGAGAAATACCTAATGTAGATGACGGGTTGATGGGTGCAGCAAACCACCATGGCACGTGTATACCTATGTAACAAACCTGCACGTTCTGCACATGTATCCCAGAACTTGAAGTATGGAAAAAGAAACAAACAAACAAACAAACAACAACAACAACAAAAACTGAGACCCTAGAGGGCAGAGACACAAGCAGCTGGATGTCGAGGGGAATGCACTGTGTAACAGCACACTGACAGACGTCAGCAGGCTGGCAGGCCATTGCCCGGTGGAATGAAGGGGAGTTTGGCCGGGGCAGTCAGAGGAGAGCCTAGGCCACTAAGTGGTCCAACTCCAGGGGAAAACCACCTTCCCACTTCAATTCCCTTCTCACTCCCCCATCTGCTGAGAGCTACTTCTACTCAATAAAACCTTGCACTCATTCTCCAAGCCCATGTGTTATCTGGTTCTTCTGGTACACCAAGGCAAGAAACTCCAAGATACTGAAAGCCCCCTTTCCCTTTGATAAGGCAAGGGATATAATTGTGCTGTGTTTAGCCCCCTACGGATGGCTAAACTAAAAGAGCACATGGTAACACAAGCCCACTGGGGCCTCAGGAGCTGTAAACATTTACCCCTAGACACTGCCGTGGGGTCAGGGGTCAGAGCCCCACAACCTGCCCCTCTGTCTGATTGCCTAGGGGTTTTGAGTACCCAGGAAGCGAGCCACACTCCCATCACATGCCCTGCAAGGGGGATAAGGGAACTTTTCCCATTTCATTCTTTGTCTATCCTGAAAATTATTTTATTTGTTCTCTCCCTCTCTGTATCTTTCTCTCCGTGTGTGTGTGTGTGCACGCATGCACGTGTGTGTGTAATGCTCTGAGTGAACAGCTTAGGGTATCAAGAAATGAACTACAGTCAGAAATATACTCATTTTCCTTTTGTTTTTTTTAAGGTAAGTTTCTCTAATTCATCTCAGATCTCCCTACACAAAATGAAAATCACTGTTCAGTACATCCAAACACAGATAGTCTATCCCTCAGATTTTCTTTCATTTTTTCTCCTTTGGAGATACTGTCTCTAAAATCATTTGTTTCCCATTCCAATATTATTATTTGTTCTCCATGTCTCTCTAGTCTATTTATCTATATTAATCTTAATTATGAAATGTGAATTTATAACCCACTTTATAAAAATTATAAACATGATGTATACATTGTGTCATATCTATGAATATTTTTTCTTTAGCATCATTCCTAGTGACTGAATACTTCTTTCAGTTGTGTGATGGATTTTTTTTTAGTTGCTCCTTCAGAGGATATGTAATCATTCTCAACTCTGCTCTAGTCCCTAGAATCAGACCCATATGGGCTACATCCACTGGGATCTTGCCTTCTGGCCCCCAATTGAGTTCTGCCAATTGGAGACTCCAGCAGGAGATCAAAGTGCTCACAGAGAGTAAGATCTGATCTTGGTCTCCCTCTCCACCAAGTCTCAATATTGGCTGAGTCCCTCAAACTAAAGCCAGAAATTATATTGATTGGACTTCTCCCTGTACTATAGCCCCTCTCTCTTAGTTCCAGTAACTACATCTTCGCATTCAAGCCTGAGAGTGGTAATGGTTCTCTACTTTTTGCTAGCCTGAGGGTGATTCCTCATTTCTCTTTGAAATGAGAAATCATCCTCATGGTCACCTTAACCCCTTAACCTGACCATGGCAGTTAAATTATTCCTTTATTAATAAGTGCTCCAAAAATTCTTCTTGTATTCTTTTTCTTGATGAAAATCTTATTGATGCAATAAATGTTATCAGAAGCCACTCCGGAAAACAGAAGGCAAACTCAGGAAATATCTACCTTCTTGGGGGAAAAGAAAGGAATGTAAGTAATCTCTTTCATTAAATTGCACTATAATTACCAGTTAGTATTGCTAGTGACATGAGATAAATTATAAGTGGAGGGCAAGCTGTTGGGAGATCAAGTGGCTATGGCACTTAACTGCTATGGTAATAATAGCAATTATAAAGTGTGTAGGGTCATCTAGTAGCTTCTTATGGCACTAAGGATTATATACAGTAAAAACAGAGAGAGAGACAAAAATAATGAAGGGAGTGCGAGAGGAAGGGAGAAAAGGACAGAAGAAAAGAAGAAAAAAAAGAAAGAGAGAGAAGCTGAAATCACTTAATTCCCAACTGAAAATGCAAATGGAAAATCAGAAAGCATCTATGGAAGCCTTGAAGAATTTGCTTATCTCCTGTAGTCACAGAGAAGATATCGCTAAGTGTCTAGATCAAGACCAGAGTTATTTACAGACCTAATTTAGAGCTCTGTCCTAGCCAGTCTCATGCTGAGGAGCAATCGTATGAAAAGAATGAATATTCTCATTATTGTGGCAAACAGTTTACTGAAGGAAATATTATTTTCCCTCTTTGTGACTTTGGTCTCAGTGAAACCTACTTGTCAGAGAACACAGTCATTGTTTTGACAAATGGGAGACCAAGACTGCTTCCTGACCATACAGGGGTCCTCAGGCTGTAAGCCAGTAGGCAGAGATGAAGGTTACCAAGGGAAAATGGGTTTTCTGCCACACAGTGCGAGCAAGTAAGAACTATATCTGGAACCAAGAAATTCTCTAAGGTTTCTCTTGGTATGCTCAACAATAATGGGCAATGAGAAATTGCAAAGATCTATTGAAGACAGGGCTTCCATAGACTCAAATCCTGCAAAATTGTTTTGGGAACCCCAAAAGGTTAAAACTTTATAGTCAAGATAATTTCAGAGTTTAAATGGAACATCAATGAGAAGTAAAATATCTAAGCTGTGATTATTATCTTTGAACTTGGATAACAAAGGATGCCAGTTTCCCCACTGTTGCTAACTCCAAGGGACTTTACCATCCTAGCTATTTTCCTTTAACTTTGCCACATTTTAAAAAAAGTAGTCTCTTTATTAAACTCCTCAATTACCCCATTTGAGAGTGCCATCTGTTCTCTTCTGTGATCCTAACTGTTGCATACCAATTTATTTAAACAATCTCCTATTTTTGCACATTTAGATTATCTCAGTTTTACCTCATGTTTTAAATGACTTTCATATACATCCTTGGTAGCTAAATTATCTTTTCTCCATTGAACCTAGCTATATAGAATTGGATTAATCATAAGCCTTGTTTTGTGACATATTTGATTATCTTTTTGTTTTTTATGGTCCTTTTGATTTACTGCATCCATTTACTTATCTAAATTATTCATTTGTTTAATAATATAGTGAACATTCAATGAACCAATAATCCAAACCAATGACTAGAATATTACTAAAGTATGTTCACTTTAAGTACCCTTACCCTATTTAATTCTTTTGACTTGCCTGTGTAATCTTCCCAAAAGTAATCAACATCCTGAACTGTATATTTATTATTACTTATTATTACTTCTATTATTATTATTTGTATCTAATTTCAAGATAATTTATCATTTAGAGTGTTTTTGAGTTTTAAAAATATAAACATATTGAGGATTCAAAGTGTTCAGAATTCTTGCTAGTCTGGTCCTTGTTCCTGTGTGGATACCAGCTTCCTTCAGCAGTGCAAGCAGCAGTCCCTGAGGCCAGTAGAAGGGGACAGAGAAAACTTATGAGAATTTTGCAGGTTTTACTTTACATTCTCAGTTCTGTTTACAGGTGAATATACATTTTAGATTGCTATTTCTTCTAGAGTCACTGGCTTGGGTTTCTTCCTCAGTGACTCCATTTCTGCTAAACTCTGTGAGTGGGCACAGCTTTGCATTCCCCAGGGAACTGTCTGGGTGCCAGATCATGTGACACTCCCCAACCCTGACCTCTTACCAGGCAAGACTAGCTGGCTTGTTGGTATCTGACTGGGGGAAGAGCCCTGCTTTCTGAACACTGAGAGGGGTAAGACATCTGGGTTTGTTGAGCAGCACAGTAACAGGGCATGCCTACCTCTGCAGGGCTAATCCAGGAAGGGTGTGACATATATGCCAGCCATGGTCTCTGCTCAAGGGAGCCCCATAGCCCAAAACACATGAAAAAGAAAATGCAGGCATGGCACCAGTGATCAGAGGCAGTTCCTCCAAGGCCCAGAATAAGACATAGTGAGGGATTCATCTCTTCCCCACTTCACTGCTCCCCACTCCCACCACCAAGGAGCACTACTATGAATGTACTAAAATGCAAGAGCCATGTGGCTATGAGCCTATCTGCAGTCAATCACCCTTAAGTAACATCTACTGGATTGCAGCCCAAATTACAACACCAAAAATATTTTGCCAGAGTAAAGTGCCAGTGAGCCCTAAGGTAAGAAACCAGCCACAAATAAAGATCCTGCACAGAGCCCTCACCTCTAAAAGCACCCAGAAAGTAGGCAAAATGACTATACTTAATATATGCCACAAGCCAGGTGTGGTGGTGTGGTGGTTTATGCCTGTAACCCCAGAACTTTGGGAGGCTGAGAAAGGTGGATCGTTCTAGCCCAGGAGTTTGAGACCAGCCTGGGCAACATGGCAAAGCCCTGTCTTTACAAAGAAAAAAAAAATTTAAAAAGAAATTAGTCAGGTGTAGTCCCACGTGCCTGAAGTCCCAGCTACTTGGTAGGCTAAGGTGGGAGGATCGCTTGAGCCTAAGAGGTCAAGGCTACAGTGAACCATGATCATGCCACTGTACTGAAGCCTGGGTGACATGAGTAACATAGCGAGACCCTATCACACACACATATATATATGATATATATATACGTCACCCTATCACACATACATATGCGTGTGATATATATATATATATGATTTCTTTCTCATTTGAGAGGGCTGAATATATATATTCACATATCTATCATATATACCATATATGTATCTATTGATATATATGGATATATATGATATATATTATTCAGATCAACTCAGATCAATATCATATATATCATATATCATATATATTTATTATATATGGTATATGACATATATGATATATATGATATTGATATATATGGATAGATGATATACATATCATCTATGATATACAGATGATATATATGATATATATATCAATAGATATATAGATGATATAGATGATATATATATATATGAATATATATATATTCAGCCCTCTCAAATGAGAAAGAATCCATGCAAGAACTGTGGCAGTTTAAGAAGCCAGAGAGTTCCCTTACCTTCAGACAAGCACACTAGCCCCTAAGCAATGGTTCTTAGCCAGATTAAAATGACTGAAATGACATAGAATATATAACCTAGATAGCAAGAGAGCTCATGGAGATCCCAGAAAATGTCAAAACCCAATTCAAGGAATCTAAGGAATCCAGTAAAATACTCCAAGAGCTGAAAAATAAAATAGCTATTTTAAGAAAGAACCAAACTGAAACTCTGGAATTGAGAATTTCACTACATGAATTTCATAACACAGTTTGAAGCACTAACAGAAGAATAGACCAAGCTGAATAAAAAAAAAAAAATCTCAGAGCTCATTGACTGGTTATTCAGATCAACTCAGTCAGACAAAAATAAAAAAAAAAGTTTTTTAAAAATAGACAAAACCTCTGAGAATATGTGATTACGTAAAGAGACCAAATCTATGACTCATTGGCATTCCTGAGAGAAGGAGAGAGAGTAAGCAACTTGGAAAACATATTTGAGGACATAGTCCATGAAAATTTCTCCAATCTCAGTATATAGGTTGACATGTAAATTCAAGAAATGCAGATAACTTCTTTGAAATACTATTAAAAAATGACCATCTTCAAGGCACATAGTCATGAAACTGACTAAGGTCATCATGAAAGAAAAACATCTTAAAGGCAGCTAGAGAGAAAGATCAGATTACTTACAAAGATAATTCCATCAGGCTGGTAGCAGATCTGTCACCAGAAACCTTATAATTCAGAAGGGATTATGGAACTATTTCCAGCATGCTCAAGAAAAGAAATTCCAACTAAGAATTTCACAACCCACCAAATTAAGCTCATAAGTGACAGAGATATTAAATCCTTCTCAGACAAGCAAACACCAAGGGAATTTGTTAACACTACATCAGCCTTACAAGAGGTCCTTAAGGGAATGCTAAAGATTAAAATAAATATTGATACCTGTTACCACAAAAGGCATTTAAACACATAACCCATAGAAAATATAAAGAAATTACACAATCAGGTCTACAAAACAATCAGCTAATAACATGACAATAGAATAAAAATCTTACAGTTTAATAATAAACCTGAGTATATATGGCCTAAATGCCCCCACATGAAATGCACAGGGTGGCAATCTGCATAAAAAGACAAGACCACACTTTCCGCTGTCTTCAAGAGATCCATCTCATGTGTGACAACACCTACAGGCTCAAAGTAAAGGGACTGACAAAGATCTACAATGCAAACAGAAAACAAAAAAGAGCAGGAGTCACTATTCTTATATCAGATAAAACAGACTTTAAACCAATAACAATCAGAGGAGACAAAGAAAGATGCTTCATAATTATAAAGGGGTCAGTTGAACAAAAAGACTTAACTATACTAAATATATACACACCAAAGATTTGAGCACTCAGATTCATAGAACAAGTTTTTATTGACCTACAAAAAGATTTAGACAGCCACACAATAATGAAGGATTTCAACACCCCACTGACAGTGTTAGACAGATCATCAAGGCAGAAAACTAACAAAGAAATTCTGAACTTACACTAGAACTCAAATAATTGGACCTAACAGACAGCTACAGAATACTCCACCCAACAACCACAGAATACACATTCTTCTCATCCACATAGGGAACATATTCTAAGATCAGCCACATGCTTGGTCATAAAACAAGTCTCAATAAATTCAAAAAAATTAAAATCATATCAAACACACACTTTGACCACAGTGCAATAAAAATAGAAATCAATACCAAGAAAATTTTTCAACACTAAACTAAAACATGGAAACTGAACAACTTGTTCATGAGTAACTCTCGGGTAAACAATGGAATTAAGACAGAAATTTTAAAAAATCAAAATTAATGAAAATAGAGATACAACTAACCAATATCTTTGCAATGCAGCTAAAGTAGTGTTAAGAGGAAGGTTTATAACACTAAATACATCTAGAACTTAGAAAGATCTCAGATTAACAACCTAACATCACACCTAGAGGAACTGTAAAAAAAAAAAAAAGAAAACAAACCAATCTCAAAGCTAGCAGGAGAAAAGAATTAAAATCATGGAAGAACTGAATGAAATTGGGAAGTAAAAATCCATTAAAGAAAACAATAAAACCAAGAGTTGGTTCTGCAAAATAATAAGCAAGATGGATAGACTACCAGCTAGAAAAACAAAGAAAAAAAAGATTTAAATAAGCGCAATCAGAAATGACAAAGTTGATATTATAAGAGATCCCACAGACATACAAAAGATCCTTCAAGACTAGTATGAATGGCTATATGCACACAAATTAGAAAATCTAAGAAAATTGATAAATTCCTGGAAACACACAAGCTCCCAAGATAGAACCAGGAAAAAAAGTGAACATTCAAACAGACCAATAACAAGTTCCAAAATTAAATCAGAAATAAAATACCTACCAACTAAAAAAATCCCTGAACCATGTGAATTCACAGCTGAATTTTACCGGACATACAAGGAAGAACTGGCACCAATTTTACTGGTACCAATTCTACAAATAATAGAGGAAGGAGGGATCCTCCTTAACTTATTCTGTGAAGCCAGAGTAATTCTGATACAAAAATCTGGCAGAGGCACAATGTAAAGAGAGAACTTCATGGCAATATTCCTGCTGAACATAGACACAAAAATCCTGAATAAAATACTAGCGAACATAATCTAGCAGCACATAAAAAGTTAATTCATCATGATCAACTAGGCTCTATTCCTAGGATATAAGGTTTGCTCAACATAAGCAAATCAATAAATGTGATTTACCCCATAAACAAAGTCACAGACAATAACAATACGATCCTCTCAATATATGCAGAGAAAGCCTTCAATAAAATTCAACATCCCTTCCTGATTAAAAATTTCAACACACTAGGCATCAAGAGAACATACTGCAAAATAGTAAGAGCCATCTATGACAAACCCACAGCCAACATCGTACTGAATGGTCAAAAGCTAGACGCATTCTTCTTGAGAACTGGAACAAGAGGAGGATGCCCACTCTCTTCCCTCCCGTTCAACATAGTACCAGAAGATCTAGCCAGAGCAATCAGGCAAGAGAAAGAAATGAAAGTCATCCAAATAGGAAAAGAAGTCAAACCATCTCTCTTTGCTGGCTGTATTATTCTAAACCTAGACAACCCTAAAGATTCTGCCAAAAGGCTCCTAGAACAGATAAATGACTTCAGTAAAATTTCAGGATATAAAATCAATATATACAAATAAGTAACATTTCTATACACCAATAATATTCTAGCTGAGAGCCAAATCAAGAATGCAACTCTATTTATGACACACACACACACACACACACACACATGAAATATCTAGGAATACATCTAACCAAGGAGGTGAAAAATCTCTTCAAGGAAAACTACAAAACACTACTGAAGGACAGAGATGACACAAACAAATGCAAAAATAAATCATGACCTAGAAGAATCAATATTGTTAAAATGGCTATACTGCTCAAAGCACTGTATAAATTCAACACTATTTTTATCAAAATACTAACGTCATGTTTTCAACAAAACAAAAAAAAGTTCTAAAATTCATATGGAACCAAAAAGAATGTGAATAGCCAAAGCAATCCTATGAAAAAATAACAAAGCTGGAGGCATCACATTACCCAACTTTAAACTATATTATAAGGTTACAGTAACCAAAACAGGATGGTACTGGTACAAAAGCAAATACATAGATCAATGGAACAGAATAGGGAACTCAGAAATAAAGCTGCTTACCTATAACCATCTAATATTTTAAAAAGTTGATAAAAACACTCAATTTAATAAGTAATGCTGGATAACTGACTAGCCATATGCAAGAGAATAAAAATGGACCCCTACCTTTTCAACATGTACAAATATTAACTCAAAATAGACCAATAATTTAAATGTAGGACCTCAAATTATAAAATTTCTAGAAGAAAACCTAGAAATAATCCTTCTCGACGTTGGTTTTGGTATAGAGTTTATGGCTAAGTCCTCAAAAATAATTGCAACAAAAATTGACAAATGGGACTTAATTAAACTAAAGAGCTTCTGCCCGGCAAAAGTATCAGCAGAATAAAAAGGCAATCTATGGCATACAAAGGCATACAACAGATTGTCTAAAGGCAACAACAGATTTTGGTGAAGATGTGGAGAAATGGGAATGCTTACTGTAGCATTCCCATTTCTGGGAGACAGGAATGTAAATTAGTACAACCGCTATGGAAATCGGTATGGAGATTTCTTGAAAAACTGAAAATTTCTGTTTTTCTAAGCTATCCAGATTGTGGAACTTTCTTATGGCAGGCCTAGGATACAATATAACCACCTTTGAAGTTCCTTTTCCTGACCTTTGTCATAGATCCACTAAATGAAGATTCTTCTCTCTACAAGCACTGTGCTCTTCACCATGTCCTCCTTAGGCATCCTGCAGGGCAGTGGGTGGGAGTGAAACAAAAATGAGGTCCATCTATAGTCAGTTTCATTGTTTATGAACTGAGTTACATCACACACCTCTTACATATATAATTAAACAAAATACACCTATTAAGTACAGCACCATAAATCATAAAACCAAGCATTAAGCAAATTGTTCAGAAAATAAAAAGACTATTGAGCACCCACTAGTGTCAGGCTACCCCTACAAGTAATTCTTTTCCAGGTTATTAACATAATATTTACTTGTACATGATATGCCCAATGACATCTAAAAACCTCAACAAACAAGGCAAAATTTCTCTTGCTTTTATTATTGTTTTCTCTTAAAGGGTCTTTTCTGGAAAACCACAGGACTATGGCATATTTCATGTTCTGCCTTCTTTTGTTCTCCACAGTTTCACAATACACTTTTAGTTTTGAAAAAACTATATTTTTGGTCTACCTTAATTGAGTTATCTTATTAATCCCCAAACTATGGTGTATGATTGTTAGGACTTTCATTTTATAGATGAGAAAATTGGAAATAAGAAAAATTAATTTGCTCAAGTACCCTGATTATAATTCAGTTAGTAAATGAACGAGGATTTGAAATCTAGTCAGTATGGTTCATCCACTACCCTGTTTGCCTCAGCATAAAATGACCAATATCATTACACTGACTAAATACATTCCAAATCAAGTAATTGTATTTATTTAGCTTGAATAACTTTGGGAAACAGTGATAATATCCATTATTTTTTTAAATACTGAATATAACCATTATTACCTTTAAGAAATTATGAAATTTCAGAGACCCCAGAGTTGGAATACTGGATACATCTTTCCTAATATGCCAAGTATAATAACAAAAAAGTTGTAATTATCTTTTCATTAATATATAAAGGTCTGACTTAACTTTGATTCTAGCAGCCCAATTAACATTTTTTTTTTAAATTTTACACACACAATTCTTACCTGCTCTTTTCTCTTTTCTGTAATATTTTTTTCTTATGAAACACGCTTCATTTCATTAAAAATGTAATTATTAAAGGAATATATATTTCAGGCACTTTCTATCTAGGAAAGCAAATTGGCTTATAATTAAAGGCTTTAAAAAGTGAAGTTTCAAAGTCTCCTTTTAAATTGTTCGGAAAGATGAAGGATGAAATTATAGAGCAGACTTTTTCTTATAAATGTGGCCATCAAAGAAGTCCATATGCTATTTGGTTCCTAAGTTACTACATTTCATAATGGACTTTGAATGTATAAGGATTAAAGTGAGCATCTTTAAAGCAGATGATTAAGTGTCTTTAAAGACACTTACCTACTGATGAAAGATGTCAGTATCATTATGCAGTTGTAAAGTGAAAAGGAATTAAAACTTTAGAACCTAGAAAAATGTAAGATTGCATTACCTAGAAACCAACCTTAAAAATTCTATCTAATTATACTAATTAAATAGAAGATCTGGAGGTAGTAGGCATTGGTTGCCAGAGACTAGGCTGAGTTATAAACATATGTTTCAATTAGTCTATCTTTATTCATTCATTCACTTGTTCATTTGATTAATTTTTATTGAATAAATATGGATAAAGAAGCAATCATGCCAACTAGCTACTTAATTTCTATTCCTATATTTCTCAGGCCTCCTTGCAATTAAAAAGAAACATGTGACTAGTTCTGACTAATAAATATAATATGAAGTAGCATGTGTTTCTTCCGGGCTATGGCAATAAAAAGCCCTCACACAATTCTGTTTTTCATTTCCCCTGCTATATTAATCAGAGGGAAGATCTCGAATTTGAGCTGATAGATCTGTAATACCTAAACAACCTGGATTTCTGAATAAATGCATGAAAGAAAACTGTCCCTGAGAGTTACACAAACCATCAGTGGACTCACCATGCAAAAACAAATAAAGTTTTCTTTCTAAGTCAGCGAGGTTTGGAGACTGTACTACCACACCCCAGTCAAATTTCTGCTGACAAATACACATATTATGTTCACTCATTCATTCGACAAATATTACTGATTACCTTGCCACATGCTAGGTTCTGAAGATTTAATGATAAAAAATCCCTCATATACATGTATGGATATCATAATCTAATGGGATACAGATATTAAATATGTTCTCAAATAATGGCTTAAATATCTTATTATTTCACTATTTCTATTAATTTTATTATATAATACTGCTAATGTGACATAAGCCACATCTAAATAAGAATGTGTCTTGTTCAGACTTCATTACGCAAAGAAACCTATTTAATTCGTATACTCTATGGACTATAAAAATCTTGATGATAAGTGCCAGCTTTATAATTGTTTAGTGTGAAAGTGTAGATTCAACACTGATTACTTCATTGTGGCTAGCAGTGTAAGTTAAAATTAACTCATGAATTTTGGATACATATTTAAAGAAATCCTTTGAGACCTATTTAAGATGTGCTTCTGCAGAGACTATTTATTTACTTCTATCAAGTGCCTGGGATACAACTGACATGAATCACTTTAAATTTATTTTTGGGTCGCCTAGGTAATGTAAATCCTGGACAAAAAATATGTGTGTGCCAGTTTTTCATAGAGAATTTATCTAGTAGATTTTTTTCCATTTCTATGCAGAGCAAAGGCTGTGACAGGGAAGTTTCCATATTGTGTCACTCTGGGCAGGAGAGTGTTTTTCTAGCTCATCTCTTCTCCAAATTTGTTATCTTTCAGAGTCTCAGGTTTATGTAAGCAATTTTATCTGACTTCCCATATGGTGCAGGCTCTGGGCATTGCGAACTCTACTGCTCACAAGGCCTATTAAAAGCCAAAGGCTCAGGACTGTAGTCAGATATTCTTAGGGCAGATGTTGATATCAGCAATTAGTACATTTTTCAAGTTTGTACTTTTTGTGGTTTTTGACTTTTTTGGTCCTCTTTATAGTTGAGCTATAAATTTATTTTTTCTACCAACTTATTTGTATTTATATTTTTGTATTTTTAATTTTTTCAATTTTATTTATTTAAATAGATGATATAATTGTATGTATTTATCATGTATAGCATGATATTTTGAAGTATATATCAATTGTAGATTGGTTAAATCTACCTATTAATATATGCATTACCTCACATAGTTAATATTTTGCAGTGAGAACACATCCACTTTATCAGCATTTTTAAGAATACAATATGTCATCATTAACTGTAGTAATTATGTTGTATTAGTGAGACCTCTTGAACTTATTTTTCCTATGTAACTGTTATTGTGTATCTTTTAATCAACAGCTCCCCTTTCTCTCCCAACTTCCTCAGCCCATGGTAATCACCATTGTAGTCCATTTCTATGAGATCAAAATTTTTTAGATTTAACTTAAGTGAGATCATGTTGTAGTTGTCTTTCTGTTCCTGGTTTGTTTCACTTAAGATAATGTCCTCCAGGTTAATAGACGTTGTTGCAAATTACAAGATTTCATTCTTCGTGGCTGAATAGTATCCCATTGTTTGCCTTATAAAGAAATGCACTGCATTTTCTTTATTCATTCTTCCACTGATGGATGCTTGGACTGATTCCATATCATGCCTGTTATGAATAGTGCTGCAATAAATATGGAAATGCAGATGTTCCTTTAACACACTTATTTCATTTTCCTTGGCTATATATCCAGTAGTGGAATTGCTGAATCATATAAATCTATTTTTGTTTTTTTAAGGAACTTCATATTGTTTTCCATGATGGCTGCACTAATTTACACTCCTACCCACAGTGTGCTAGGGTTAACTTTCCTCTACGTCCTCACCAACACTTGTTATCTTTTGTCTTTTTTTATAATAACCACTCTGACAGGTATGTGGTGACGTCTCATTATTTTGATTTGCAATTCCCTGACAAATAATAACGTTGAACATATTTTTCATATACCATTGAAAATATTAGCCATTTGTATGTGTTATTTTCAGAAACACCTATTCAGATCTTTGCTCATTTTTAAATCAGGTTATTTGTTTTATTGCTATTGAGTTGTTTGAGTTGATTGTATAGTTTGTATATGAACCCTTTATCTGAGGTATAGTTGGCATATATTTTCTCCTATTCTGTAGTTTCTCTCTTGAGTCTGTTGTTTCCTTTGCTGTGCAGAAATTTTTAATTTGATGTAATTCCATTCACCCATTGTTGGTTTTGTCACCTGTGTTTTTGTGGTCATATAAAAAAATTGCTTAGACTTATGTCATGAAGCTTTTCCAATATGTTTTCTTCTAGTAGTTTTATAGTTTCAGGTTCTGCACTTAAAGTCTTTAATCTACATTGAGTTGATTTTTGTATATGATATAAGATATGGGTCTAATTTCATTCTTCTGTATGTAGATGTTCAGTTTTTCCAGCACCATTTATTGAAGAGACCATTCTTTCTCTACTTTGTGTTCCTGGCATCTTTGTTAAAAATTATATGGCTATAAAAGTGTAGGTTCATTTCTGGGCTCTCTATTTTGTTCCATTGGTCTACATGTCTATTTTTATAATAGTACCAGGCTGTTTTGGTTACTATTGCTTTATAGTATATTTTGAAGTTAGGTAATGTGGTGCCTCTAGCTTTGCTATTCTCGTTCAAAACTGTTTTTGCATTTTCAAATCTTTTGTGGTTCCATACAAATTTTAGGACATTTTTCTATTTCTGTGAAAAATGTCATTGGTATTTTAATAGGGATTGCATTAAATTTGTAGATTGCTCTGAACAGTACAGTCATTTTAACAATATTAAATCTTCTAATTCATAAATAGAATATCTTTCAATTTATTTGTATCTTCTTTAATTTCTTTCATGAGTGCTTTCTAGTTTTCAGTGTACATATGATTAACCTTCTTGGTTACATTTATTCCTAAGTATTTGTTGTAGTATAAATGGAATTGTATACTTATTATAAATGGGATTGTTTCCCTATTATAAATGAAACTATTTTATTTCATTTTTATATAGTTTGATGTTCACGTATAGGAACACTACTAATTTTTTATTCTGCAACTTAACTAAATTTGTTTATTAGTTCTCAGAAGTTTTTAGGAATTTCTATGTATAAAATTATGTCATTTGCAATCATAGACAATTTAACTTTATCCTTTCTGATTCAGATGCCTTTTTATTTATTTTTCTTGTGTAATTGCTCTGGCTAGGACTGCCAATACTGTGGTCAGTAGAAGTGGTAAGAGTGAATATCCTTGTGTAGTTTTGGATCTTAGAGGGAAAGCTTTCAATTTTCTTCCATTGAGTATGATAGCTGCAGGTTTGTCATATATAGCCTTTATTCTGTTAAGGTATATTCTCAGCGATAAATTTAAAGAGATGTTTTAATATTGTATATATTACTTTTTTTTTATCTAGTCTGTCATGTTGTCAGAAATTCACATATTTTTTAAATTAAGTGTATACGTGAGAGGGGTGCTTTGTTAAGGAAAACCACATGGTTTGTTAAGGAAAATGTATGTCTTCCATTCTGATTTTTTGTCATTCTACTTTTGTTCTTGTCACACTATACTTAACACAATTCCAGTCTGTGCTGAAATGGTAATTCAACTTGCAAAAAAATTAATTATGTCCATCTATAATTATTCTGAAAACAGATGTTATTGAACAACTCACACATGCTAATTAGCATACTTGTAATTAACTTTGCCACTTAATTGTCGGAAACTTAAACTAACTTTGCCTTCACTATAAGGGCAGAACCAAAGAGGTGGTGGGTTTTATGAAGGAACTAGACAAAGAAAAAACTCCCAATGGTGTTCAGATGAGCTAGAATTGTTATGCTGAGTGATATCAAAGGAAGGGAGAATAAAGAAGACCCAAATAAGAGTTGGAAGAAGTCTCAGTCAGAAGATGAGATGTAACTGCACGTAAAAATGAAGAGTGAAACAGGCATATAATTGGGGGAAGAGTGTACTAAGAATATCAGCAGAGCACAGTGAGGAGTATGGTATAAATTATAAAGTGATTAATTTTACTAATTCAAAAGCCCAAACTATAAACATTAGGTATGAAGCAAGACATTTCTTTTATATGAAATAGACCCAAACACATCCTCATTGGACTTGGGAGACAGTTGCAGCACTTTAAGGAAGCCCAGTGAATGAAACACATTAATGTTACAAAATATTTGCTGAATATAATGAACTTTTTTTTTCATCACAGTATGAAAACCTTCTACCTGTTTCTTCACTTATTATTATTTCTCAATATATCTGAGACATTTTGGTGAGGTGATCTCTGTATACCATTTAACCTTTAGTTAAGTAGAAAAACTGAATCTAAACTATAAATGTAAATGCCCAAATATTCTTTATGTAGCAGCGATTATGGATGCCATTATACAGCCTGTGGGCTTACTACAAAACACCTCTTTTACACAGCAGTCTGAATTTGCCTATTTCACTGTTTCAGACTGCTTTGATTTTTAAAATACTCTTTTTATTTCAAATAAGTTTGAAGATTCTTGTTTTCAAAGGTTTTTTAAAATGATCAAAATAATACCTTTCTTTGTTGTTTAGTCAGGGTTTAATATTTTCATTTTCAATAAAAGCATTTGCATTGCCTTGAAAATAGGTTGCCAAGACAATCCTTCAAGAGATATACAAAACAAGAGATTTACATTAAGTAACAAAGAGATTTCTTCCAGCTCTGAAATTCTGTGACAGTGTATATGGTCCACACTGGTTAGAATTACAATGAAACTTTACCAATAAATATTAAATATAAGCTCTAATAGCTTATATTTTCCTTAAATCCTGTCTGCCTTATCCTTATATGTGGTTATGCACAAGTTGGGCAGCTCTTTGCTTATAAAAGTGCTGTGTGATTATAATGTAAAAGGAAAAAAGAACACTCCTTCTTGGTGTGGGATTGTAACACAGACAAAAGAAGGTAACTGTGTATTGGTATTCTGCTGGGGAGGGAGTCAGTGAACCAAAAGTAGGTTGGCAGAAGTATAAAAACATTAGGAAAAGTTGATGTCAAATTTTCAGGAAAACAGACTCTGATATGACGATCTATAGTAAGAAAGTTGTTTAGGAGAGATCATGTGAATGACACCTGTGAGAGAGTGAATAAAGCAGGATTAGGCAGAGGGTGAAGCTGAACTGCAAAGCTGTTGCCGGCAACAGAGGCTTCACAGGATTTTCAGATTTATTGAATAAAAATACAGGATTCCAATTAAATTTGAATTTTCAAGACACAGTGAATGATGTTAAGTATAATAACTTACAAATACTATTGAATCTAAAATTGGGCCACTCCTCTTACCCTTTAGTTGTCAGACCCAAGTATTTTACCCAATCAGGACACAGAGCCACATAATAGGCATTGCATTCTGGAGCACAGTACTCAGTTCTCACAGACTATCATCTCCAAGAGGGTGAATTTGATGTGTCATCAAAAAGCCATTCCAAATATTTATTAGGCCAGCAATTCTGGGTGGTGTGATATTAGATACAATCATGTATGAGATATAGTCATATGTTGACAGCCACACCTCCTTAGAAGTAAATTGGATATGTTGGGTTAATTCAAAGTTATGTAGGATACCATGTGGATGGATCACACTCTTTGTAAGCCCTTGGAAAGCTGGGTGACTAAGGCCCTGCAGGCATAAAGGAAAACTAATACCTAGAATGTGTGTAAATTACAATCAAGATGGATTACTTCTGCTTCCAAGATGGGAAAAATACAATGAAATCAATTTGTTTCAAAGTGGGTGCTCTTCTCTGAAAGAAAAATGGTGCTATAGTGGGGCTCAGCACTGGCCTCTATTAACAGCAAGTTGTATATTCAGCATTAGTAGTAGCTATATCAGACATGGTGAGTAGGAGGCCTGGCCTCCAAGATTCATGGACCATTGTACCAGCCCTGTGATGGCTGATGATAGAGTCTGGATGACATCAAATGCTCTCTACTGGGTTGTTTAGTGCCTCTTATGTGGTAAAGTCTCTGATGGGTATAAATGTGATTTTAAAATATTTCTTCCACTCCTATGGGTGGATCCACATGATCTTTCCCCAAACTACTTTCTCATCATTTTTCCAGTCTTTATCTAACAAGACCCTGGCCAATAAGCCAAATCATTTACCACTCCACAAGACGCAGTTACCTCTGGAAGCTACTTCTGTGAATGCCTACTATCAGCCCTTGTCTAAAGAATACAGTCATTCTGAGTTTCTTATTGAGGCTGGTGCCCCTTTCACCAGTGCATTCCTTAGTGATTTGGTACATTGAGTAACTCCTGGTCATTTCTACAGAATGTAATTAATTAGCTGATGAATCTTACAGTTGTTTTAGGTATATTTACTTTAGTATATTTAGTTTCCCTTCAACTTCCATCAGCCATAGCTGAGCTGGTATTTTTACTTGGCAAAATGTAAGCCATCACTTTTTCCAAGCTTCCACCAGCCATACTAGCAGAGTTAACACCATTTCCTAGGACCTGTGTCAGCATGCTAAAATCCATATCATCTTAAGGTTCTCTGCTCACCCTCCTCCAACCTATCACCCTTAGGATTCCATTTCATGTACAGATTCAGGCTAGGGGTTTCTATTGTTACATATTAGCAGAACTGACCACCCCTTCTTCTCTCAAAGCTGATCTAGTACTTAGAACAAGGATTGTCAAACTCATTTGAAATAAAAAGAATGTTTTAATCAGATAGGTTACGTTGTAACTTGATCCTATTTTTTGGTCTAGTGGCCAAGAGGGGAGATGGAAATACGTCCTGGGGTAAGAGGCCCTGTTAACTCCAGAGGCAAAGGTTCTCACATCCTTTGCAAACAAGGGAAAAATGCTAGCCTTTGCAGTTGGAAGCAGTATATTTCTGCAGACCCAGATAACTCAGAAGAATCCAGAACTTTATGGCTCTCAATTGTGTTGACCCAGCTATCCCTGTTCCCACTCTTAGGCTTCCATTCCTTCCTAACCAGGGCTTTTACTATGGCATAGCAGACCTGCTGAACTGAAAACTTACCTTTTCACTTTCTCTGAAGTTCCCCTACTCCTATAATTCAGTACATGGACCAAAGATTATTCTGCCTTCCAGCTGTAGTAAATGAGAGTCTCTTTAATGCTTCCATTAATGCTTTAATGTTTCCAATTAAAGAAATTAAATATTTTTCAATTTCTACATTCCCTGAACTGCTCAAATACCTAAGATAACTGCATACACAAGGCAGTCTTTTCCACTGGTATTCCATTCTAGTTCATCACTAGTGAAAGTTTTAACATTTAATCTGCTTTAGAATTCCAGGTGCTATCGAAACTCCACCAGCCATCATCTTTATTGACAGCTCAGAGGTGGTTAATCCACCCCAAATCCCACTTGGGAGTCAACTTTCCTGGGCCCCTCTGTTGCCAACTGCCACAGCTCAGGTTCCCCAGGAAATAGGTGCCAACGTGGAGATTCATGCGCAGAAAGTTAAGTGGAGCATACTTATGGCAATCAAGCTTGTGAGAGAATGAAGCAAGCAGGGTTGGGCAGAGGAAGAAGTTGAAATGGAAAGCAGTTGCAACAAAACCATCAGCAATTTTTTTGAGGTGGGATGATCTTTTAGAATTCTCCTGAATTATGGCACAGGAATCAGGCTTTTATCACCATCCCCTGATTAATCTTTGTATTCAGCTTGCCCCAAGAGAAGAGAAAAAGCCTTGGAAAAGGTGCACCCTTAATCCAAGATTTAGTCAGAGAAAGGGGACTCAGATGCGAACAATCGATAAGTAACATTATGGCAGGTGACAGATTGCCTTACTCTGAAGAATGAACATGGGTGACATACTATAGCATGCACTTCAGCCAGGGTTAGTATACACCATAGAAAGAAGCAGTTGGATGATAAATTGTGAAATCAGTTTACTAGCCAATGAATGAGAAAATGGGAAAGCAGAGTGTCAGAGCCATGGACATAAGCAAACTAGAGAAACAAAATCTCTATTCAAAAAGTACAAACAAGGGTGAGATCTGAAATATGGAAAACATATCACAAGTCAGATTATAAGTCTGTGATACAAGTTGGTACAGGAGGAGACCCAATATCTATTATGTTGATTAGGTCCTTTTCCACACAAAATGTGGATAGACAAAATTTACAGTTGAAAAGGCCCAAAAGGGTAAGCAGAGAACTTGTCTCCCAGCCATCCAGTTCTCACCACTGGTTATTCATGCATATCTATTTTCCCACTAAACTGTGAGGTACTTGAAGTAAAAGAGGTGCTGCTTATTTTGTAGCCTCCGTGCTCAGCTTAATTGCCCAAAAAATACTAAACAAAAAATAAAATAGCCTTGTAATCTGACTTTCAGGTAATTTTTGCAAAATGGCACTTCATCTCTAGATAAGTTATTAAGAAAAAAATAAGATTCTCTACAGTGAAGCTATAGGTCATGCAATACAATACTACCAAAATTAATTTAAATATTTCTGAAACATGCATGGATTGAGTTCATGGAATTTTTTTATGAGCTTGGTTTTGAAAAGACTCATAAACACTTATATGTAATAATGCAAAACACTACTCTACAATATTCACAATAAAAGGTCACCTAAAGACTGTTTGCTCATATCCAATGACAGAGAACTCACCACATCAGGAGGCATTTATTTCAAATTTGATAAGTTATATCCGACCTAATCAAAGAAAGGAGCCGTGTTTCTGTGTTATAAAATGAAGTCTTACTCTTTATGGTATTTATAGGCAGACATTAAATAATGAAGTGAGTTATCAATAGTCAAACTCAAATGAAATTGTTCAAATTGAAACAATCATTTCTCAAGAAATACCGTTAAATTCTCAGCAGTATTCATAAGACTATTATAAATGCACCAATAATATTTTATCCAGAAAAAATATAAATTATTTCTCCTAGTTCTTTTTTAATATTGATTTGTTTTCTATATTTCCTATAATGAATCCACAACATACTCAATTGGGTCTTTATTCTCTTGATCAGAATAAATATTCTGAATATCGTACATATATCTTCTTTTCAAATCTTCCGAAATCTGATATAACACAAATGCCCTCTGATTTATGCTACTTCATCATGTTTATTTCATAATTGTATTTAGCCATATATTTTTAAAAATTAATAGCCTATGTGGTAATTACCACAAATTATCATAGTACTTTCTATACTGGTTTAGATGTCAAAGACTTATCAAATGGTTCTAAAATAACTGATCCTGTTGATTATTGTTTCAGTCAGCTATTGTCAGGATAATGCTGCATAATGAATCATTTTCAAACTCTGGCATATAATACTAAGTATTTTTTCTTGCTCACACATATGTAGGTCAGCTCATCTAGCTGAGTTAGCTAGTCATGAATACAGTCCATAAGCTGTTTTCAGGCCTTTTATATGTGTCTCTCATTCAATCATGCAAACATGTTCTGAGGCTTTACTTTCATTATGTCTGCTAACATCACATTGGCTAAGTCAAGACAAATGGCCAAAGCTAAAAAAGATATGAATATATAATGGTACTACAGCAGAATACAAAATTAGAGCCAACAATGAAACTTCACCATTCTTTTCTCTATTGGTCACACATTCACATCTCTGCTACATAAAAAAATATTCTCTCATTTTAAGATCTCTGAAAGTGTCATCCAATCTTTTTCTCAG
Source organism: Homo sapiens (assembly GCF_000001405.40). Lineage (NCBI taxonomy): Eukaryota > Metazoa > Chordata > Mammalia > Primates > Hominidae > Homo > Homo sapiens. The sequence continues at coordinate 102,097,762 of NC_000009.12, read as the reverse complement.
GTTCAAAGTCCAGGATCAAAGCACACTATATAATATTCAAAGTACATTGAGTCTGGAGGTAGATCCTCTTGAACAAGAAATCAAAAACTAAGACACATATTCAACACATAAGGGTGTAACAGAGACAGAAAACAATATGATAAACTCTTCCATTCAAAAAGGGGAAGAAGCACATAGCAATCTGTGGTTCATAGCAACACTGAAATTTCTCTGGGCACAAGCTTCCACATCCCCCTGTTCTGGGAAAAAAAAATATTCTTTCACCTTAGTTCATAGTTCCTCGCGGATATGGCTCTGTACTCTGCTATGTCCTCACTTTTCCATCATCCTCCTGTACACCCCTAAACATTTTACGAGTTACTTTTTATCCTGGCTGAGTGACAACTTAAATCGTTCTGTTTCCTGAGTCCATGTCTTATTGGCAGTGTTCCAGATGTGGTCTTTTCCTGAGGCTGTATTGAAATTACCACCTTAAATTTGTTGAGATTTTCTTTTCCCAATCTTAAAAGTCCCAGAATTTCAGGGCTTTCTACTTTCCCTCTCAATTTAACTTGTGCTCCAGGCAGTTCATCCTCAGGCTCATCTGTCTTTTATGGTACCAACTCACCTTTTTAGCTTTTCCCTTGAAATTTCTTCACCCACAGGCCTTAATGTACACATTTTATCTGCCTTCCAGGATGTTTATGAATGGAAATTTCACTAAATATTTTTCCATTCTTCTAGCCTATTTAAAAATTCACCACTATTTCTTCATCTCTTATGATAGTGCCCCTACTGTTTACCAAGCTTTTGCCACATATTTTAGGATTATATTACGGCAGCACCCCAATTCTAGGTACTAATTCTGTTTGACAGCTATAGACATAATAATGTTTCATTAAAAGCCATCTCAAAAGTCAGTGACATACAGCAAACAACATTTATTCTCGTATACACAGGCCTGTGGATCAACTGAGGCTGCTCTGGTTTAGCTGTAGGTCTACAAGTCGGCTGTGGTGGCTCCACTTTAGGCTACTAATCTATGGGTTTGGGGGTCCACTGTGTTGCATATCTCATTCCGGGGTTCAGGCAAGAGGGGCAACAGCTATCTGTGGCCTGTTATTCTCATAACAGAAGTCAAAAGTTCCCAGATGATCAAATAAAAAAAAAATATGGTCTCTTAAAGTCCATATTTCATTGGCCAAAGAAAATAATATGGCCAACTACAAATGTTAATGGGGCACAGAAGCATAAATCTTCCATGAAGGTTAAGAGGAAGAAATAATTATCAGCTGAACAATAATCTATTCTACCGCATTTGTTCACCAAACAACACTAATGAGGCACATAGATATACATTGCTCACATAGTTTCTATTAAATTACACAAATAATAAGATTATACCTGGGTATCTTCCTTATATAATGTCTATAATAGACTATATTATACATATGCATATATATAATACACAGATATTATTTATAATTAATTTCAGTTCTACCATTATTTTCTTCTTGAATAGGATGAATTGCAAAAAAACATTGTGATTACATGTATCCTATATTCTGATGAAACATAGCAGAAAAAAAAAACAAAACTCAACGAGACTCAAGGTAATCTAGAAAAAAATGGAAATTTTAGCCTTTCAGCCTAGGGATGCTCACAGTAATGGAAAGAATTGTATAAATGGCATTCATGAGTGATAATATTTAAACAAGAAGCTCTATAGTGTCTTCCTCCTTTTCTTTCATCTTCACTCTTTCTCCTTAATATGTTCCACTGTCTTTTAATGAGAAGTAAATATTAGTATATTGATACATTATAAGATATCTCCTTTATGTCTGCCTCTACATAGCCATATCTTTTCTGTATTGATTGTCAAATTTCCATCACATTAGACATTTTAGAAAACGGCGAGTGTTTTTCATCTAGTATTGCTCTGAAAAACAAGATCGACAAGAGAGAAACTGCATCTCTCAATTTACTTGTCTGAAAACAATGATTCACTTCGTAATTCTGGGAAGATGAATCGTCGGAGTTAGTCCATGTGTAGAATTTATATTTTTATAAAATCTGTCAACTGGAATAAAAACATCTCAAATTTGTGCCAATGTTTCTCTGAAAACAAGATGTGGAAAAACCATAAAACAACAATAACAACTATGTGATTATGTCTCTAGATTCAACCAGGCATATCTCATTATTTACAGCAGTTTGAGACAGACTAGAAAGTCCTGGAAACTGGTCCTAGCATGACCTCTTGTGATGGACAGTTATTTGAAAGACTGACAGTTTTATAGGTTTTGATGAAGGCATTGTTTGAGAAAGCAGCTGATTCTATCTCTTTTATGCATTGGATTGTTACAATCCAACAGAAGTTCGTTCTGTTGCTGAAATTGTTTCACCTTTATTCACGGGTATCCTTTTATTTGACTCCTATGTCCCAAATGCCTTTTAATTACTGATTTACTTACTTTCTGTATAGTTTTGCCTGTTCAGAACATCATATAAATGGAATAATACAGTCTATAATATTTTTAGACTAGGTTTTTTTTCACTTAGCAATATGCATTCATCAATATTTTCTGTGATTTGGTAACTAATTCCCTTTTATAATATAATATTTATATTTTATTGTCATATAATAAAATTTAATAAATTTTGTATTAAATATAATAAAATGATATTTTATTATCTACATGGTAAGACTACCTTTAGCTTGGTAAGAAACTGCCAAACTGTCTTACAAAATGGCTATGCCACCAGCATAAATAAGAGTTCCTGTTGTTCCACATCTTCATCAGCCCTTGATATTATCAGGTTTTAAAAAACATTTAGTCCTTCTAATTAGTGAGTATTATTATCTCATTGTTGTGTTAATTTGTATTTTCCTAAGGACAAATGGCAAAAGCCAAAAGTCTGTGACTTGTTTTTTCTTTCTCTTAACAGTGGCTTTTGCTGAGCAGAAGTTTATCAATTTAATAACATCTGATTTATTAATTTTTTTCAATATCATGCAGTTGGTATTATATCTAAACACTTATTAATCCCAAGTTACTTAGATTTTCTCCTAGTTTTGTGTTTTGCTTGAAGTTTAACACTTTCGCATTTTACATTTAAGTCTATGATCCACATTAAGCCAAGATTTGTATAAGATGTAAGGTCTAGGTCTAGGTCTTTTGTTATGCATACGGATCTCCAATTGTTCCAGCATCAATTATTTATGAAGACTACCATTTCTCTGCCATTGTGCACCCATCAGAAATTAGTTTATTATTTAGTATGACTTTATTTGCAGCCTGTCTGTCCTGTTCCATTAGTCTGTATTTCTGTTATTTCACCAATAACACAATGTCTTAATTACTATAGCATTTCAGTAAGACTTGAAATCAGGTATTACGAATATTCCAACTTTGTTCTTCTTTATGACCAAGTTGCCTATTACAGGATGTTTGTTTCTTTATCTAAATGTTAGAATCAGTCTGACTGTATCTACAAAATAGCATGCTGGAATTTTGATTGAGATTGTATTGAATCTATAGGTCAAGTTGGGAAAAAATATAAATAAGCAGTATTGAATCTTTAATTCCAAAAATGGGAATATGTCTTCATTTATTTAGTTCTTCTTTGATTTTTCCATCATTGTTTTGTCATTTTCTGCATATAGATTCTATACACATTTATTTGGGATATGCGTAAGTACTTTATTTTGAGTTGCTACTATTATTATTATTTTTTCATTTCAATTTCTAATTGCTCATTGCTGGTTTTTAGGAAAGCAAGTGACAATGTATCCTACAACCTTGGTATACTTGCTTATTAGTTTGAGAAATATTTTTGCAATCTGGGATTTTTCTAATCTGGGTAGTTGTTACTACTTTTTCTTATTGTATTGAACTGGTTAGATCTTCAAGTATAGTTTTGAGTAGGCTTAGTAAAAGTGAATATCCTTGTTATGCTCACAATTGTAAAGGTAGATGGTAATCATTTCACAGTTGAGGATGATATTAGCTATAGATTTTTGGCATTGCTTTCATTAGGATAAGGAAGTTCTCATGTTTCTAATTTTTATAATTTTATCATGAATGGTAATCAATTTTATTGAATGCTTTTCTGCATCTATTGATATTTTATTCTTTTATTTTGTTAATAGAATTATATTGGTTTATGATTTTTCAAGCAGTTTTGCATTTTTATAAGAAACCCCAGTTAACTATATTATTTTTACATAATGCTAGATTCAACTTCTGAATATTTGGTTAAAGACTTTTGCTTCTATATTCATGAGAGATACTGTATCATAATTTTCTTTTTGTACAATATTTTTATCTGTATTTGGAATTAGGATACTTCTGGCCTAATTAAATTAAGTATGTTCTCTTTCTATTTTCTGGAAAAGGTTATTGAGAATTCCTATGATTTCTTCCTTAAGTAAAGGATTTACCAGGGAACAGATACATACCTCATGCTTTCCTTTTTGTTCTAGTTTTATTATTTCTTTCTTCTGCCAGCCTCATATTAAGTTTCTGCTTTTTCTTTAGTTTCCTATGGTAAAAACTAACATTATTTATACTAGATGGTTTTTTAAAGAAAATATTTATATTTAATGCTATAAATTTTCCTCTAAGCACTGCTTTATGTGCATTTTATAAACGTTAATGTTGTATTTCTCTTCTCTTTTATTTTCATTAAAAATATTCTTAAAACCTCTTCTTTGATATTTGATTTATTTAGAAATGTGTTGTAGAATTTCAAAATGGCTTAGTATTTTTGAGTCTATTGCAGTATGAGAATATACTTTACGTAACATCTATTATTTTAATGTGTTGTGTATTTAATGGCACAGAATAGAAAATATCCCAGGGAATTTTTCATGGGAAATTCAAAAGAGTATGCATTCTTTTGTTCAATATTTTATGTCAACTACGAACTTTGTCTAATTATTAGAAATTATCTTTATTATTAGAAAGTTTATTGATTGTGCTGTTTGAGATATCTACATTTTTATTGAGTTTTTTCCCATTTGATGTATCAATTACTGGCAGAGGAATGTTAAAGTCTTTAAATATAATAGAAGTTCTGTCTCTTTCTTCTTTCAGTTTTATCATTTTTGCCTTAACGTATTTTCATACAGATGTTGGATGCATTCAAGTTTAGGACTGTTACGTCTTCTTGAAGAAATGAATGCTTTATCATGATGTAAGGCCCTTCTTTAGCCGTGAAAATTTTGCTTGTTCCTATAGGGCCAAAGAGGAAGGCTCCCCTTTCACCCTCAGAAAATTCACCAAAAAATAAACTTATAAAAGGCAGATTAAGTGAACAGGCAACCTACAAAATGGGAGAAAATTTTTGCAACCTACTCATCTGACAAAGGGCTAATATCCAAAATCTACAATGAACTCAAACAAATTTACAAGAAAAAAACAAACAACCCCATCAAAAAGTTGGCGAAGGACATGAACAGACACTTCTCAAAAGAAGACATTTATGCAGCCAAAAAACACATGAAAAAATGCTCACCATCACTGGCCATCAGAGAAATGCAAATCAAAACCACAATGAGATACCATCTCACACCAGTTAGAATGGCAATCATTAAAAAGTCAGGAAACAACAGGTGCTGGAGAGGCTGTGGAGAAATAGGAACACTTTTACACTGTTGGTGGGACTGTAAACTAGTTCAACCATTGTGGAAGTCAGTGTGGCGATTCCTCAGGGATCTAGAACTAGAAATACCATTTGACCCAGCCATCCCATTACTGGGTATATACCCAAAGGACTATAAATCATGCTGCTATAAAGACACATGCACACGTATGTTTATTGCGGCACTATTCACAATAGCAAAGACTTGGAACCAACCCAAATGTCCAACAATGATAGACTGGATTAAGAAAATGTGGCACATATACACCATGGAATACTATGCAGCCATAAAAAATTATGAGTTCATGTCCTTTGTAGGGACATGGATGAAATTGGAAATCATCATTCTCAGTAAACTATTGCAAGAACAAAAAACCAAACACCGCATATTCTCACTCATAGGTGGGAATTGAACATTGAGATCACATGGACACAGGAAGGGGAACATCACACTCTGGGGACTGTTGTAGGGTGGGGGGAGGGGGGAGGGATAGCATTGGGAGATATACCTAATGCTAGATGACAAGTTAGTGGGTGCAGCGCACCAGCGTGGCACATGTATACATATGTAACTAACCTGCACAATGTGCACATGTACCCTAAAACTTAAAGTATAATAATAAAAGAAAAAAAAGGCAGATTAATAGGAGAAATAGCATACAAATTTATTAGCATGCATGGAGGAGAATCACAGAATCTTATGCTGATTGCTCCAGCATACAATGGAGTACAGATGGTTATATATCCTTCTTCTTAGGGAAAAGGGAGATAGGGAAGTGTGGATTATTTTAGGGGGGATATAAATGATTTTTAGGACAATTCCACAGGCTTGAAGAACATACAGTGGCTTGGGACAAAGTTTGTTGGGCCCACAAAGCACATAATGGTTTGTAACAAAAGTATGACCCTGTGTGTTGGCAGATTTCAGTCTTTATTCCTGTAAGTTTAGTTAATGCAAACTAACTAAAGAGGGAAACAGCTAGGAGTAATTGTTTTCTTTGACAGTTCCAAACTTTAGTCAGAGAGGGAACTTCAGAGATCAACTTCATTCTATGCTTTAGGAGAGACAGAGGATTAAGAGACAGGAGGTGAGTGGTGCAGGTTAGAGAGAACTTGAAGTTTCTTCAATACAGCATGTCAAAGTACCATATTTCGGGGTATTGGTTTCTGATTCCCAACATTCTGAAGACTGCTTTGTCTGAAATTAATATAGGCATTCAAATTGTCAATTGATTGGTGTTAGCATGATATATCTTTTTCCATTCCTGTAGCTACAACATATCTGTCTTTATATTTAAAGTGAGATCTTATAAATAACATATAATTCAGTCTTCTTAAAAATTGTTTTGTCATTGTTGTTGGTGCACTGTGACAAGAATTTACATTAAACATTTTTTAACTAATCTATGTCCACCATCAAATAACACTCTACCACTCCATATGTGGTACAGATGCCTTATAACACAGAATACTCTCATTTTCTCACTTCCATTCTTTGTGAGATTGCTGTCACTCACTTCATTTACCAAAGTGCTAAAGTCACCCAATTCCTTGCTACTACTGTTATTTATTGAAGTAGATATATTTAGATAAATTAGGAATAAGAAAAATAAAGATATTATTTTACCTTCATTGATTTTCTTTCTAGTGCACTTTCTTTTTGTAGATACAAGTTTCTGATATATATCATTTTTCTTCATCCTAAATAATTCTTCTTAATTTTTTACAACTTTTACAAGTTGGCACATAATAATTATGCATATTTATGGGGTACATAGTGATGTTTCAATACATATAATGTATAGTGATCAGAGGAGAATAATTAGAATATCCATCATTTCAAACATTTATTATTTCTTCATGTTTGGAACATTCAATATCTTTCTTCTAGCTATTTGAAGGTATATAATATATTATTGTCAACTAGAGTCATCTACAGTGCTGTAGAACACTTGAACTTATTCCTCCTATCTACAGAATGGGAGAAATATTTGCAAATGATTTGTCTAACTGGGGATTAATATCCAGAATACACAAGTAACTCAAATATCTCAACAGTAAAAAACAATCCAACTAAAAAATGAGAAAATGATCTCAACAGATATTTCCCAAGATATACAAATAGCCAACAAGTATATACTTTTTAAAAATGCTCACCATCACTTATCGTCACAGAAATGCTTATCAAAACAGCAGTGAGTTGTCATCTCATCCCAGTCAGGATGGGTATTATCGAAAATACAAAAAGGTAAAGGATGAAGAGAAAAGGGAACTCTCACACACTGTTGCTGGGAATGTAAACTAGAGCAGCCACTATGGAGAACACTATAGAGGTTCCTCAAAGAATTACAAAAAGAACTACCATATGATTCAGCAATCCCACTACTGGGCATTTATCCAAATGAAAGGAAACCAGTATATTGAAGAGACATCTGCATCCCCATATTTACTGCAGCACTATTCACAATAGCCAAGATATGGAATCAACTTATATATCCAACAAAATTTGAATAAAGAAAATGTGGAATATATACACAATGGAATACTATTCACTCATAAAAAAGAGTAAAATTATGTCATGTGTGGTAACATAGACAGAATTAAAGAACATTATGTTAAGTTAAATAAGTTAGGAACAGAAAGTTAAATGTGATATATTCTCTTCCATATGTGGAAACTGAAAAAGAAGGTTGATCTCACAGAAGTAAAAAGTAGAACAGGATTGGCTCTGAAGTTAAGGAGTAACAGAGGATAGGGGGAGATTTGCTAAGATACTAAAGAATTTCTTTTTAGCTTTTATTTTTTGCTTTGCAGGACAGGTCAGCTAGTGTTGAATTTCTTCACTTTTCTTGAATTTGAGAGTATATTTCTCCTTCATTTTTGAAGGGTAATTTCACTAGAAGGGAATTCTAGATAGGTGTTTTGTTTCATTTAATACTTTATTTCACTTCTTCCCTTTTTGCTTGTATGAATTCTGATGAGAATTTACTATAATTCTTGTCCTTTTCCACTTAAGTAGGTAAGGTTTTCTCCTAAGTCTTGTAAGCTTTTTTATTTGTACTTTAACTTTACTCAATCAAACATTCCCTACAAAATGATACACTGAAATGAATTCTAGAGGTTGGTTTCTAATTCACCAGGCTGTTTTCAAAATGCAATAATGGCCAATTTACCTTAATCCTCAACTTAATTTTTGTGTAGATTTTATATCTTATATAAAATTAGATACTTTTGTTATTTAATTTAAAAGTTTATTGAATTATGGTGAATTAAATAAAGATAAAATGTTCACTTATTGCTTTTTATGCATGTTTCTAAGTTATTCAGCACCAAAAAGGGAGAGATTATAGTCTCTCATTATATAATTCTTCAAAGGCTCTAATGGCAAATTTTCTTCAATCAACTTAATATTGATATTCTTCTTTCCAAAGGGCTGATTATTTAACCAGAGGAAAGAATAAACAGTCTAGCACTTAGAATTGGATATTAGTATAGAAAATTATCAGTAATTTTGAAAAATCAGTCAGTAGGTTGTTTGTCCCACTATTTCTATTGGCATAAAGAAATCTTAATAAACTGTGAATCTTATTAGCTAAGACTGCCTTGAAAGCACTCCAGAACTGTGCTTCATAACTGTTCAAGCAGCACAAAGATCAAAGGGGAAGTAGCCACCTTTATTTTAAATGATGTTTTAAATTAAAGTTGTTCAAATTTTATATCTGTGCATGTTCAGTTTTTCTAACTAACACGAATATTCCTTTCTCTAGGGAACATTTCTATAACACTGGCTGAATGCATTTCTCACATTCTGCATTTTTAAAATTTTACTTACCCTGATAACCCATTTTTGCATTCATCTCAGTAAATAAATCTTCCTGCATACTTCTACAGAAACAGTAAATCTTTAGAGCTTTCCTGTGCTTTGATTGGTTATTTCCTTCTACATCTATTTTATGATTCTGTCATCCTAAGATTCTGACCTAAGAGAGACAACAGAGAAGATGCTATAGGCATTATTAATAAGTGGAACTTCTGCCTTGGGCCCCTCTCTTCTTTCCTACCTTAGATAACTAAGCTTTTCAATTTGTATCTGTATAGAGCAAAGTCTCCCAAATCTAGGAGATCTCTAAAGTCATTTCTCCTTTCCTCTATGGCATCCTTATTTCATTTTTACTGTAAGAATATTAATTATCCATTAAGGAATAACTGCTACCATTGCAATCAGTTGGTTGAGAACTGTAATCAAGGTGCTCCAATTTCCCTAAGCCAAAAGGTAAATCTGTGACCAGACTATGCAAAATGAGTCTGTCTTTGAAATATGAAGCTTAAGCAAAGTGGAGCAAAAACATATAGTAGATAGAGTGCAAAGAAGGTCTCCCAAAGTCCCCACTCCCTCCTGTACCCACATCTTTTCCTAGTTACTCATAGAACACTGACTTGGTGCTGCTAACAAGAGACTTAGTAGATAGAATTAAGGCCCCAAGTCAGTTGAATTTAGAAAGATTACTCCTTTTCTTAATTCAATGAGCCTTACCTAATTAAATGCACCCTTAAAGGGGATTGGGCTTTCTCTTAACAGAAATATTCAAAGCATTAAAGGGATTTGACACAGGATAAATCTGTCACTGCTAATTTGAAGTAGAAGTGGCCATGTGGCAAGAAATGTGGGTGGTCTCTAGGAGCTGAGAGCAGTCCCCAGCTGACAGCTAGCAAGGAAACTGAAGCCCCAACATTCTGAATATACATGAAAGCAGATTCTTCCTCAGAGCTTCAAGATGTTAACTCAACCTGTCAATCAAAGTTGACACCTTACTTTGCATTTTTACGACCCCGAGCAGAGAATTAAGTAACACCATGCCTAGAATTTTGACCTAGAAACCTGTGATACATTAAATGAATGCTGGTTTAAGATGTTAAGTTTGTGGTCATCTTGTAAACAGCAATAGCAAATGAATAAAGAAGGAAAATGGTTGGAGCTAATTCAGTGCAAATGCAGAGATGAAGACAGATGATGGCAGTACAATGTGAACTGGGCTTTGAAAAATAATAGATAGATATTATGATGGCAAAACAAGGAACATAGCCCAGTATGTGAAATAGAAGAATGTCTACAGAGCTTGTTTATTGGTTTTTGCTACCCAGCGTCCCTGAAGTCTTTTGACTCCAATCCTTCGTAAGGCTCACTCTCCTGAAATTACTCAAAATACTTTCAATAAATGTCCCTCTTGCTTAAGTTAGCCAGATTGTTTTTATTACTTGCAATCAAATTCGTTAAGTGATGTGTGCTTTGAGACCCAACATAATCCAAAATCCTTCATCCCCAAACATTCCCAAAGTAAAGCACCCTCCAGTAAGAGATTCTGGGAATGTTTTCTCCCAGATTTGAGAAGGCTTTACTTGCTTATCAGACTGGGCATGATGGCAGCTCACGCCTGTAATCCCAACACTTTGGGAGGCTGAGGCAGGTGGATCAGTTAGTTGAGGCCAGGAGTTCGAGACTAGCCCGGCCAACATGGTGAGACCCCGTCTCTACTAAAAATACAAAAATTAGCCGAGTGTGGTGGCGCACATGTAATCCCAGGTAGTAAGGAGGCTGAGACAGGAGAATCACTTGAACCTAGGAGGCAGAGGTTGCAGTGAACCGAGAACACGCCACACTGCACTCCAGCTGGATGACAGATTGAGAGGCTGTCTCAAAGAAAAAAAGGAAAAGAAAACAAAACCTTTACTCCCTTATCAAAATGTCCTCCAAAGCACAATTTGTGATAGCAAAGATGGCAAATAGGAGCATAAATGGCATTGCATTATAATCACAGTGTTGCCTTCCTAGGTTTGTTGGTTTCTTTTTTTTTTTTTTTTTTTCATATTATACATTTTGCTTTGGGAACTTCCAATGGTCTCTTCTTGAGAATGTAAGAGATGAAATCAAGGCTAAATTTGCAGTGTCAGGCTAAGCTGAATATCAAACTGAAAATTTCAGCATGTTTGATAACGTACGTGTTCTCCTAAAACACAGACTTCATATTTCTGTTTGGGTGTCGGGGGTAGCTATTTGGGTTTTGTTGTTATAGGAGAAAAGTCTGGCATTTAGTGCTAATTTATATATAAAGTTATGATTTCACATTATTTATAATGCATCATCATTCCTTGGCTTGTAGCATATTTGAAAATGCATAATATTCTACATTTATTTGAAACAAAATAGAATGAAACAATATACTCAGCAATTTTTAAGATATATTCATTCAAATATAAATATTTACATAGATTTGATTAACCAGAGTAGGGAGAACAATTTAGTTTTTGGGGTGTGTTTTTGGTATCTCAATTTGGCTAGGCTAAGGTCCCCAGTAATTCAATCAAACATTAACCTAAATGTTGCTAAGGAGGTATTGTGTAATACTTCCATAAAATACTTCCATAATTACACAAATTAATATAGCCCATAATCAGTTGACTTTAAGTAAAGGAGATTGTCCTAGACAACCTGAGTGGGCCTGACTCAATCTATTGAGAGGGCTTAAAAGAAGAATAGAGACCCCTCTGAAGAATAACAAATTCTGCCATGAACAATAGCTTTAGACCACAACTGAGCCTGCCCTTCCTGGTAAGCTTTTCTACCATTTGAACTAGCCTAGCACACTTCCCAATGGTGTAAACCAATTCCTTGCAATAAATAATCTCTCTATATATATGTGTGTGTGTGTGTGTGTGTGTGTGTGTGTGTGTGTGTGTGTGTTGCATATGAAACCTCTTTCCTTATAGGACTGTTTAGGGGATTAAAACAATTGATACATGTAAAGTGATTACAACAAAGCCTAGAATACAGTACACAACATTAGAATACAGTAAGTGATAAACAGATACTATTGGTTGTAATTGTTATCATTAAGCCAACGTGTTCTGAAGACAACTGGACTTCTAGTTTGCTGTGCCAAAATCTCTGCATGGAGCACAGTGCCACAGCAGAAGTAAACTACTGATAGTTCTCTGCACACACTAAGATGGTTTTTTCATGCAGTTCTCTCTGCCTGGATCACCTTTTGCCACGCTATTGATCGGATTAACCCTCTTGTGCTTTGAAATTCAGCTCAGCCAGTATCTCCTGTGGTAAGCAGAATAATGGGTTCCTGAAGATGTCCATATCCTGATCCCCCTGTAAATATGTATCCTGAAATGGCAAAGGGGCTTTGCAGGCATGGTTAAACTTGTGATAGGAGATTATTCTGGATTATTCAGGTGAGCCCAAATATAATGATAAAGTTCCTTAAAAGTGGAAAAGGGAGGCAGAATATTAGGGCAAGATAATGATATGTTAGAAATTGACCTATTGGTGCTGCCTTTAAAGATGAAGAAGTGGAGTATAAGGCAAGAAATACAGGTAACCTCTAAACCTGGAAACGTCAAGCAAGTGAATACTACTCAGAACATACAGAAAGAAATGCAGCTTTGCCTGTGTCTTAATTATAGCTCAGTGAGACCCATATCAGACCTATGACCTATGCAACTGTAAGATAATGTATTTGTGTTGTTTAAGCCATTAGGTTTGTAGTAATGTGTTACAGCAACAAAAGAAAATTAATACATCTTCTCCAGATGCTTTCCAGATTTGCAGACAGGGTCAAGTTTCCCTCTGTTTCCATCATCCTAAAATCTAGTATATTTTTCTATCATTACCCTATTCATAGTGTTTGATCTGTGTACCTTCTGCTGACAGGGGTTAATGCTTAAGTTTCAACATTCTATTTAGATTGATATACACAAAGCCTGGCACAGCAGTGTGACAGCAAATGTTTAAGGGTTTACTGAACTCAACCACCATTCCAGTGGTAACAGAGACTTCTCTTTCAAAAAACTTCAAATATGTCACCTGAAAATGGGTCTCAGAGTGCGATTACCTCTGCTTACCTCCCTTTATATTTACTCCAAATGACTTGCTCATTTGAAAGTAAACCAGAGTTTGATATATATACCAGTCACTTTCAAAACATACTTTCCTCAAAATATTTTCTTTGCTCAACCAATTACAATCCTACCAAGTTTGAGATGAAATTTGACCCTCTGTTCATACCCCCTTCCTTATAAGAATGTCTGAAATATTGTCTAAATTTTCCCATGTCCTTTTTCAACCTTTTCTATGGAGGCTAAGTTTTTAAGCAAATTACACACACACTCAAAAATTCTGAGTTGGATAGGAATCTTAGAGTTTCATGTCTCAGGCACTTAGTAAGAGGGAGGAAGAACATAGTCTATGGATTTTCAGGAGAAGATCAAAATGATATCATTTAGCCACACACTTAGCAACCTTTAGGAACATCACTGTTTGCTCCTAAATATGTAAGTGTGTATATCTGTCTATTTATAAAAGATTAAATCTTCTCTCCTCTCCAATTTTGATCGCTTTCTATGGTCTCTACTTATAAAATCTCTGCCACTTCTAAGGCCACTTCCAGTTTCAGCATTTATATAAATAGAAAGATGCAGAATTTACAAGTGGGGGATGTTTTATTTTGACTGAGACATCCATAGCCTTAGGTAAACATGGGCATTTCTCCTAGAGCTTATTGACATAAGCCATGCCTCCAGCAAGCATCAAAAACAAAACTTACTAGAAGGATTCTGTGGTATTCAGGCACTACTCCTGTCCCACCAGAAACTGCAAGTACCTTGGGGGAACAAATTGATCACACAGTAGAACAAGGGAAAGAGTGGCACTACAAGATCTGTGATCTGATGAGAGATGGAGGATTCCCTTACTTATAGCGACTGAGCAGGCAGAAAAGAATATAGAAAATGTGGATACCTCAGCATGAACAGAACTTGCATGACACTGTCAAATCAGGAAAATATTGACTATCCTACATTTAACTCTGGTAGCCTGGTTACTTTGCTGAAATTTATTTTTTAAAGCAATACTAAACTCTATTTCTACAGTGATAGATCAGATAAGATCAGTTCACAAAGGTTTTTTGTTAGACCTTATTTTCTTGCAAGGAACATGAAAACTTTTAAAATAATATAAATAAAGAGAGAATTTCCTATTTTGTGAGAATAAAGAACTCACAAGAACAAACCACACAAAGTAAAGCATGGTCTCCCAATAGCTAAAAACTCATCAGGCAGCTCCATTATTTGTATAACTTCCTTGGGTGAATTTTAAGCTCTCTTTTTCTATAAGTGTTTTCTCATCCAAGATCCTAGCATTACCTGTGGCTCCAATTCTACCTGAAGTTTTTATTCATGTGCTCAATACATCATATATCAGACTGTCTCATTGTCTCTTAATTTAAATTCCCAGATAAAAAGAATCTGATGGTCTCAGCCTAACCTATGGATCAATTCACCTTGCTTCAATCAGTGGTAGCTTTGAGGTGAACACTGTCATATGGCCTGTGGCTATCCCTTCCAGAGCATGAGAAAATCAGTACTCCGAGAGGTTGTTTAGATTGCAAAAGTAAATGATGACCATCTTATGTACAGAAAGATGGACAGCTTGAAAAAATGTGTTCTGAGTAATTTAAACTTCTAAAACAGACCAAAGTATTTTTTGAAAAATTAATATAAAAATGTGTTGAGGTGATCTTCTGTATTGTTTTAGAGTTGTAAGAACATTTACAAAACTGAGATAAACAAATTCTGTCTTTTCTCATGTTCTTGGTGCCAAAAAGTTAAATGCTATATTTTACAAGATTTACTAAGAAATGGTCAAACGAGAACTGAGTCCATGAGTCCATCACCCATCATCATTTTTTGAGAACTATTTAAGGAAGGTTTATTGAAATAGAAAACCTACAGAAGTCATGCTGTGTCAGCCTAGGGAAAACTGTTGTCGTTCTCTTAGGCCGAGAGATGGCAAAGCCAAGAGAACCACTAGTACAGAATAAGGTTCTGTAGAAGAAGAGATGAGTAGCCCTTATGAACAGAAAACTGACTATCAGAAGAACGGCTGATCTGCACCATGTTTTTATTTGAATTGGGGGATGGGAAAGACAATCAGGGAAACATGAGGCTAGAAAGACAGAGCTTGCACTGTCACAATATGACATGGTAACAATGGACAGGTGAGTTTTCTATGAACCAAGTGAACAAGTAACAACAATTGAGCACAGGCCATCATGTCAGGGTCCTGCCCAGAAAGCTAAGTGCTGGGATACAAAACCCTATCGAAGACACTATGGACTAAATTACAGCGACTAAGAAAATTCATCTTTCTTGAGGTATAAACTTGGGTTGTGTATTTGAGATATTTCTTCCTTTTTAAAATAGGCATTTATTGCTATTAACTGCTTCCTTAGAACTACTTTGCTGCATCCCATAAGTTTTGGTATGTTTTTATTGTCACTTATCTCAAGCGATTTTCACATTCCTTTTTTAATTTCACCTTTGACATATTAGTTAAGGAGTGTATTGTTTAATTTCCACTTCTATACATTTTCCAATTTTTCTTCTCTTATTATAGTTTCAATCTATTGTGGTTGGAAATGATACTTGCTATTATTTTAATCTTCTTAACAAATAAATCCAGAATTAGCAGAAGAAGCGAATCATAAAGATTAAAGCAGAAATAACCAAAATAGAGAATAGAAAAACAATAGAAAAATACCAACAAAACCAAGAGTTTTTTAAGGAAAGAAGCAAAATTGACAAAATTTTAACTAGATTAAGAAAAAAATAGAAAACAAATAAAATCAGAAATGAAAAGAGAAGATATTAAAACTGATGCCGCAGAAATAAAAAGATTATAAACAACTACTATGAACAATAACAAGTCAAAAAATAGGGTAACTTAAAGACAATTTGTGAAAAGACATTCTAGAAATATTAAGTAATGAAGCAATGATAGTTGCAGTGGTTGGTGGGGAAGAATTCTAACAGGGTTTCCCAAAGAATATACTTGTGTGGATTAGCATTTGGATGCCTGTATCTCAGAACACATGGATACACACTCCAACAGTGCACAACCAGGTAGCACAATTTTGATCTCTTTTATGTAGTTCTCTATTCTCTTTACCTGAGCCTGCAAAAGCCAAAAATAAAATCAAAACAATAACAAAAAAGTATATGGAAAAGAAAGGGAGAAAGTTTAGCTGGAACAATAAAGCAGAAGAAAGTCTTTTCCTTCAATGCAGGTCTCTGGGGCTACAGATTGGGTCTAGAATGAGAACAAATGGTATAGGGGAAAATTAGATTTGACATAAGAATGAAGTTTTCAACTGACTTAGATAGAAATAGAGTTTTTAATGCCTGAAAATGACTGAAAAGATAGAAGATATGCCCAAGATTGTCAAGAGGTTAAAAAAAAAAAGGAACTACAAGAGAGTCTGTTTGAAAGCAGTAACTCGAGAAAAAAAATTCTCCTCTGTATCCCCACCAAATTTAAACTGTGAAAGATAGCAACTTTTTACAAATTATACAAAATATGTTAAAAGCATTGCTTCAGAATAAATATGCTGCAAAATCAAAAATCATGTGGCAAAAGAAATAAATTAAAAACAAAAAACAAAACATACGAATATGATGAAAAACTGAACATACAATAACATGGTATAGAAATAGGGAATTACTTTGCAAGCACAGCAACTATAAAACAAAGTCACAGACTTTTTAAAAAAAACATAGTTTTGACTACACTGCATTTAAAATTATATATATATATGTATATTATGTATTTATATACATATATGGGTATAAATGGTTTAAAAGTCCAGTAGACAGTTACAGATTTCTATTATTTTGTTTTACTGTGTAATGTTATTAATTTTAGCAATATCATTTCTGGGAAAAAAGTGTCAAGAGAACCTTTTGAACAGTACATTATCACTTGGGTTGGAGGCTTTTGGATTCACAGATTCATGTTGTTCAGAAAAAAAGAAATCATTATTTCAATACATATTTCCTGAGTGTTCTATGAAGCAGGCTCTGTATTTGCTATATGTATTTTCTCTGATGAATTTTGTACCTCTTTAGGGAAGGGCATGTGCTTATTCTTTCAGCACCACCATTTTTTGACAATTTCTGGTAAAAAAAAAATTTCATTTCTTGTTTAAATGTCAGAAATGCTCAGTTTTCATTCTTTAATTTCTTTGGTATATGGATTTTAAGAATCAGAAATGTATATTGCTTATTTGCCTGTCCACATGCTTATATAGCACTTGGATTTGCTCATTTAGAATTTGATTA
The DNA here is from genome assembly GCF_000001405.40 of Homo sapiens. NCBI lineage: Eukaryota > Metazoa > Chordata > Mammalia > Primates > Hominidae > Homo > Homo sapiens. The sequence goes on along the minus strand of NC_000009.12, from coordinate 102,079,957 downwards.
CCTGAAAATCTCCATTTGTGTACTTTTGTTAATGTGTATACAAATTTTCATCACCACTCCTGAGTCACTGGCCTTGAATGGTGTGCTACTTTAAATCAGATGACTCAAAATGTCTCTTCTCACTCTCAGAACAGGTATTTGTGACAAGTATTTGTTGATTTGATTGGTTGTTTTTGTTCTTGGTCCTTTTGATGCAATGCAATATATTAACAAAATTCTAATGTTCAGCCTCCTATGAAGGACATGCCTGATTACTGCATGTAATTATTAATAAACTAAAATAATTTGAAAATAAATTTTAAAAATTGTTAATAAAATTGTAATAAAAACTTAATAAATATTTGATTTCTCGGCATTTTACTTTAAAAGTTTTCATTGTTCCCAACCTACAGCACTGAGAGATAGAGAGGATAAATAAAGAGGGAGAAGAGAAAAAGATAATTGGTAAAGACTTACGCTTCAGGGAATCAATGAGTACTTGAAATTTAATGTAAATTTTAGTGTGACTGCATATTTTTCCTGCAAGAATATTTATATATTTTTCATAAGGTTCTCAAAGAAATGTATGAATCAAAAGATGATTAAGAATCTGTCATCCATAATTTTTGTTATTAGTTCTGTAAGTCAGATTTTGTGACAGTTTTATAAAATGAAAAGTATAAAAAGGTACTAAAAATATTATTGGGAGATTTGGGAGATACTGCCAATTTTCCTTTAAATTAATAATATTAATTAATTAATAATATTTTTCAAAGTGCTAGTTGATCTAGCATCAGTAGCCACCAGTCGGAATTTATATTAAAAGGAGGAAAAAAAGGTTTGTAATTGAGGAATTCTTCAATTTTTTTTTCTTTTTTTTTTTTTTTTTTTTTTTTTTTTTTGAGATGGAGTCTCACTCTGTCACCCAGGCTGGAGTGCAGTGGCACGATTTCGGCTCACTGCAACCTCCACCTCCCTGGTTCAAGCAATTCTCCTGCCTCATCCTCCTGAGTAGCTAGGATTACAGGCACGTGCCACCATGCCCGACTAATTTTTGTATTTTTAGTAGACACAGGGTTTCACCATGCTGGCCAGGCCGGTCTCAAACTCCTGACCTCATGATCCGCCTGAAGAATTAACATCCTCTCACATCATTTATTACTTTTTATATTTCTTCTTTTTAAATTGTATATGTCTTCTGATTAGTTTTTAGGCAGTATTAATGTTTGAATTAACAATTTAAATAAAAATTCTAAAGCATTCTATGAATGGGAAGACTTCTGATTATTAGTCATAATCTATGAGTCCACATTCCCTAATGAAGAACTCGGTCCCTCCCTCTCCACCACCACACTGTTCACTGCGGTGGTGCTGAAGGAAAATAAGCACAATCCCTGTCCTAAAGAGATACAAAATTCATCAGAGAAAATATGTACAGCAAATACAGAGCCTGCTACGTAGGGCACTCAGGAAATGTGTGTTGAAAGAATAATTTCTTTTTTCCTGAACAACAATTTGTCCATGAATCCAAAAGCCTCCAGCCAAAGTGATAATATGTTGTTCAAAAAGTTCTCTTCTTTTCATGTGACCCCATAGCAATTGTTTATATCATTTGATTATATTATTTTGATATCTAATTTAGTTTTATTACACTTATTTCATTAATTACATCATTAATTCATTAACATTTTTACCTCCACCTCACCACATGAATGCATTTGAGTTCTGTACCTGTGATAGCTCCATAATATTTGAAAAGCCATTCAAGTTTCAGATCTCAGTTTATATATCTTTTAAATGATGTAAATAATCCATTCACATACTGCATTACTTTCCGAAAATGTGTTTCTCCTATTTTAACATGTGTAAACACTCTAAACCCTTTAAGGACAAAGAGCCCAACTCAATCCATAGTAATAAAATTACTGAAAATATAACATCAAATTAAATTTAGGAAACGTGTTCAATTAATGGAATAACCAGTAAAACCTAATTATGTCCAGTGTTCCTCAACTAAGCAAAAGTTCATCATTTGGTCATCTGCAAGAGGAGAATTATTAGCTTCTTAAAATTTTGTATTATGATATTTTGTTTACAACGACATGCCCAGGGACTTCAGTCATGGGATACATTTGTTAAAATTACAAACCAATATAAAGGAATATAGATTCATGTCTCAAACTCATTTCTTCACATACTATTTTTCAGCTTACTAACTTTAAATAAAACGACACTAAAGCTGATTTTCCTGAGAATTCTAGGGTGACAATATACTTATACAAATGTTCAGAGAATTCGTGGCATTGTGTTTTGTGGTGGTGAGTTGATTTATTTCCCCTATAGAGATATGTTCTAGTCCTAATCCCCAGTATATGTGAGTGTTACCTTATGTGGGAATGTAGTCTTTGCAGAAGTAATAAAGTTAAGATGATGACATACTAGGATAGGGTAGACCCTAAATCCAATGACTGATGGTTTTATACAAGAAAGGAAAAACAGATTTGGACACAGAAGCACAAACATAGAGGACACAGAAACATACAGAGGGAAGAAGGCCATGTGATAATGGAGGCGGGGAATGGAGCAATGCACCTATAAGCCAAGGAACGCGAAGGCTTGTTGGCAATCATCAAAAGCAAAGATGGAATTTCCCCCAGAGCCTTCAAAGGAAGCATGGCCCTGCCAGCTCCTTAATTTCAAATTTATGGCCTCCAGAACTGTCAGAGAATAAATTTCAGTTGTTTTAAGCCACATGGTTTGTGGTAATTTGTTACAGCAGCCCTAGGAAAGTAATACATGTATGAAATGCACACACGCGTATTATGTACACACATATGCACATACACATACACACACATTTGTATTGCTTGTTTTATTTTTGTCACTTTTCCATCAAGTGGCTCCGAACTGCTTTGGCAAAGAGATAAAAAGAACAATGCTGAGACTATTTCTTTCTCGTTTACTCAGGATTTCATTCCCTGGATGTAAAAATCCCTCTAGTTTCCTTTCTAGAGTTGCAAAGGAGCTGTACTCTTTAAGTTTTGGAGCATTTTAGAACTCTTGACCTAACAGAGCATTAATTTACCTAAAATAATGTTTTTATGTATATTATAGTACTGAATATCACAATACAATCATCATAGGAGAAACAATTTTCCCAATAAAATATTTTTTTTCAGAACACCAAAAAATAGATCTAAAGCAGTAAAATGTACATTTTAATGTGTATTGTTTTCTCTGAGTCTTGATATTTTACCAACCCTTAGTTAGGGATTTTTTCTCCTTCATTTGAATCCTTCAAGTTTTTGAAAGATTTGACTAGTTTTAACTGCTTTCTTTAATAATTTTTTTTTAATTTTTACACATTCATGGGGTACATGTGCAGGTTTGCTACATGTCTGTACTGCATAATGGTGATATCTTGGCTTCCAGTGTACCCATCACCCAAATAGCGGACATTGTACCCAATAGTGAATCTTTCAATCTCTCACCTACCCCCTTTTTGGAATTCCCAGTGACTATTATTTCCCTTTGTATGTCCATGTGTTCTGCTTTCTCATAATTGCAGTTTGTTATAAAATAAAATGTTGCTCTAAGTAAAAATATGATTATGTGGCTTATAATTATGATAACTTCAAAAAGCCTTTTACATTATGTTACACAGAATCAGGCAGTTTTGGCATTCAATGTGTTCTCTTGTATTCTACCCCTGGGCCTAGTACTGGATTTCATTTGCTATTATAAGCTCAGTATAAAATGTGTCTGGCTGAAGAAAGCAAATGTTTAGAACATAGTAAGTGCATGATAAAACCTAGTGTGTTGAATTACACTAAATTTGATTTCACTTTTATAAAAATAGTATTCCTTTGAAAAAGATGTATACATTTTTGAAAGTACACTTTAGCACAGGTTAAATGAAAATTTTTGTTTGTTTGTTTATATTACCTAATATATTACCATCCCCTTCTGGACACTGTGTTTTGTTTAAATCCTTCTGTGCTTTCAACCTGTGACAAAAGCTCTGGTTCCCCAGAGCACACACAGCAGTAAAATGTAATACTGCAAACAGTACCATTTACCCCATCTAGCTAACATTCCAATAAATCAGTTGTAAATAGGTGTCATTTGTTTTAATTTCAGGTACTTTGATTTTTTTTAAAGATTCGAATTCACAATAGCCAAGGTATTGCTGCAGCATTATTAACTTTTCAATAAAGAGACAAAGAGGGTTCAAATCATGCAACTGAATGAAGAATAGTCAGTGTAGTGAAAAAAATCAATAAGTTGTAGATAAGGGAGTGATTGTCATATATTTTGTTATTTTGTTTTTATTTTTAAAGATGTTATTCTTTATTTTAAAAAGTGAAAATTAAGTAGCTTTAACCAGCACAGTAGGTCTTTAAAAATAAATTACATTTAAAAACTGTGGTATTTTCTTACCAATCTTTAACTTTTCCAATTCTTAAAATGCATTCAAATTCAAAAGGATGAATTTAGAATACTACTTTTTAAAATGTTATTATTCTTCAGAATCTGACTCAGACATTTTTTCTTCCAGGAGCTTCAGGCTCATTAAGACAAAATAATCCTATAGTCCTGATGTACAGAGGCTGCAAGCAATTTATTTACCTAGCTCACATTGTTTGCCTGAATAACAGAGAAGCCTAGATTCACTTATTCAACAAGCACTTAATCACTTACAGTGGGCCAGACATTGTTCTCTCAAGGTTGTTAGACCTCTCATGGAAATATAAGCAATGCATGCAATAAAGAAAATAGCACACTTTATTTTTTATTTTTTTATTTTTTAGTTTTGAGATGCAGTCTCGCTCTGTCACTCAGGCTGGAGTGCAGTGGCGCCATCTCGGCTCACTGCAAGCTCCGCCTCCCGGGTTCACGCCATTCTCCTGCCTCAGTCCCCGAGTAGCTAGGACTACACGTGCCCGCCACCACGCCCAGCTAATTTTTAGTATTTTTAGTAGAGACGGGGTTTCACTGTGTTAGCCAGGATGATCTCGGTCTCCTGACTTCGTGATCTACCCAACTTGGCCTCCCAAAGTGCTGGGATTACAGGAGTGAGCCACCGCGCCCAGCCGAAAATACTACACTTTTTAATGAGTGACAATCACTCATCCTTTTTGTGATGTAGTGATTATAAGGATATCCGATAGTAATATAAATGCTATGTAGATACTGAATAATTGCTATGCAGATACTGAAAATACCATCATGTAGTAGTGATTGGGTTGTTTTCTCTGAGGAGGTAGCATTTTAATGGTGGGAAGGACCTAGCCAGTCAAGGAACAGGAAACAGTATTCCAGGCAGAGGGAATATTTAGTGAAAAACTTGTATCAGAAACAAGCTCAGATATACAAAGAAGACCAGTGTTTGTTAAGCACATTGAGTGAGGGGCAGAAAGCTATGAAACGAGATTGCAAGAAAAGGTAGGAGCTTTGTAAACCAGAGTTAAGAAGTTTGAATTGCATTTTAAAGGGATTGAGAGGCCACAAAATTAACTGATTTATTTCTTTATAGGATGCTTTGGTTGCTCTACCAAGGTTTGTTTGGAAATTAAAGAGATACCAATTAGAAAGCTATTGTAGTCTTCTGTGAAAGATATGGTAGACCAATTCCAAATCATACAGGTGAGACTGGAAAGAAGTAGATGAAATTACAGCAGACAGTCAACAGGACTTACAGATGAAATGGATGTAAAGTTTACAGAAAGAAAGAAGACATGGATTATTTTTCTCTGAAGCAAGTGAGTATATGCTTATAGAATTCACCACAAGAGGAAAGAATAGGTGATACACAGGTTGAACTGAGTTATAGCAAGTGTTATGTTTTGACCATGCTAACTGTGAGATGCTTAACATCTTAAGTGAAACGTCAAGCAAGAAGTTGGATGTAGGAGTCTGAAGTTCCAAGAAGTGGTCAAGGCTGGAGATACATATCTGGAAATAATTTCACTATAGATGCTCTTTGAATTTATAGGACTTAGAGAAATCTCCTGAGGAGATTTTGCAGATAAAAAAATAGAAATAGTGAAAAAGGATCTGAAAGAATCCCTGAATTATTATTTTATGTGTATAGGACAGAAAGAGCAGCCAAAAATTAAAATGGGGAGTGGCCTTTGAGGAAGGAAGAAAACTAAAAGAGGGAGAGGTAATTGGCATCAAGAGAAAAGTTGTTTTAAGAAGATGGAATAAACAAACATGTTTATATGGCTGGAACTTGATTAAGATGTCAAAGGAGACTGGGCATGGTGGCTCACACCTGTAATCCCCAAAACTTTGGAAGACTGAGGCGGGTGGATCACTTGAGGTCAGTAACTCGAGACCAGCCTGGCCAACATGGTGACACCCTGTCTCTACTAAAAATACAAAAATTAGCTGGGCATGGTGGTGGGTGCCCGTAATCCCAGCTGCTCGGGAGGCTGAGGCAGGAGAATCGCTTAAGCCCGGGAGGCGGAGGTTGCAGTGAGTGGAGATGACACCACTACACCCCAGCCTGGGTGACAGAGAGACATCCCATCTCCAAAACAACAACAACAACAAAAGATATAAATGGAAAATGAACATTGGATTTGGTACTAGGACGGTCATGGGAGACCTTGACAACAGCAGTCTCAGTAGATTAGTCTTGATCAAATCTTTACTGGATCAGGTTGAAGGCTGGGTGAGCTGGCTCACACCTGTAATCCCAGCATTTTGAGAGGCTGAAGTGGGCGGATCCCCTGAGTTCAGGAGTTTGAGACCAGCCTGGTCAACATGGTGAAACCCAGTCTCTACTAAAAATACAAAAACTAGCTGGGCATGGTGGTGCATGCCTGTGATCCCAGCTACTCAGGAGGCTGAGGCAGGAGAATCACTTGAACCCAGGAGGTGGAGGTTGAAGTGAGCTGAGATCACACCACTGCACTCCAGCCTGGGCAACAGAGCAAGACTCTGTCTCCAAAAACAAACAACCAAACAGAACAAAAAGAATGGAAGTAGTGATGATGACCAGAAATAATTATTTCAACTTTTTTTTCAGGAAGTGCAGCAGAGAGACAAGGTAGTAATTGAAAAGGAATTCAGGCCAAGGTTAGATATTTTTTTGATTGTAGTTTTTATGTTTTTGTTACTTATTGTTATTTAAGACCGGATTATTAAAGTGTAATTGGAAAGGTTCAGTAGATAGGGAAAGAAAATGATGGCATAGAACAAAGGGTGATCATTACAGGGTAAAGGCCTTGAGAAATTAAAAGAGTTCAGATCTGGACACATGTGGAAGGGTTGGCAATTGACTGAAGTCTGAATTACTTATCCGTCATTTCAAAAAGAGCTACAAAAGTGATCCACGGCAATAAAACAATCAACGTCGTCATGCCATACACAGACAAAGGGCAATGGAGTAAAGAGGTGGGAGGAAAGATGCCGAGAAGAGAATGTGAAATATGCAAAGGACGTAGTCATAAAACAGAGCCCTGTCACTTTGGCAAGGAACACTATTTTTGTGCGACCTAGATTGAAACTCTCGGATAAGAGTGAAAATTTTCAGGTGAGGGGGGAAAAAGAAAAGCTTAATTTGTTTGCAGCAGGGGAGTCCATCTAAAAGCAAGAGTGACTTCTGGCCATTAACTGTGTGTTTTTTTTGTTTTGTTTTCTTCTGTTTTTAATGGTACAGGCACGTCAGTAGGTCAGGAGAAAAGGGAGACAAGAAAAGAGCTTGAGCAAAGATTAATTAACAACCTTTGCTTTCTGGAAACAGATGGCTTAAGGGTAAGCAAGTTCAGTCCAGGCAAATACATTCTGCAAATTCAGGTTTTTATAAAATTAAAACAAACAGGACACTTTGGCCAGTTCAGAAAAAAAGTATTTAGTCTCTAGTTTCTGACTTCTTTGTTATGTAATGGTTGTAGAAAATTCTTAACCCTTTACACTAGGAAGGGGAATTGCTGGAAATTGCTGAGGCAGTCAATAGAGGAAAGGGAGCCTGAAGTCCACCTCTAGGATTAAAGGGAAAGTGCAAAAAGCAGCAAACTGACTTCCCTAAGACCAACACTACGTCTTCACCTTACAGCTAGCCTTTCTTGAATTGTAATGATGTATTACTATCATTATTATTATCACAAAGATTGAAAGTTTGAAATATAACCCCACAAGAGTGACTGTTGAAATTGTTGACTTGGAATACTTGGTGACAATTCAGCCCATTAAGGAAAAACCTGGAACCCAAAATAAGAAGTTTGAAGAATAGATATTTCCCTGGAAAATAGGATTACACAACTTTCATGGAATTAAATATTTTGAAAAGAAAATATTTAATTTTTTTCATCCTAAAAGAACGAAGAAAATATCTTTTGAGTATTTGATGATTTTTCACTAATAACAAAAAGGCTCTTATTATTTTTATCATGAGTTATAATAACCTTATGTGTTTATAGAAACAAAATGAAGTAAATTCAAGGTAATATACGTAGTGATTTCATAAAAGTAATTATTTGAGAGTAACTTCCTTATTGATATTTCAATACAATTAAAATTATAGATAATGATCAGTTCAGTTACCCTAGATGTCTAGAAAAACAAATATGTATGTTTCCTACATGTTTTCATGTAGGAACACAGTAAAAATTCACAGGTCTTTGTTTGTGTTTTTATGAATTATATGTATTCTGTTTTCTCAACTGAGTCCATTATTTTTTTCCTTTAGCCTCACATCATACTCAATGTGATGCCAACTGAGTCACTATAGACTCTTTACAGGTCTCTGTTCACATATTATGAATTATGGAGGAAACTGAGATGTTTCTTTTATATCTATTTGACTAAGTGCTGGGATATGCTTCCCTAGTTTCTCAGCATAGTGTAATTCAAAATGATAGTTGTCCGAAGCTCTATATATGTGTGAATGACTCTACTCTACTCTCCTAATTCAGTGCCTAGGGTAACTGGGCATTGTGGTTGAAGACATAATGAATAAGTAGAATTTTATACTCTTTTCTCTTTCCTTTTGCTCATTTCCAAACATGGAACTACCAATATGGCAGTGTGGCTAAGGAAAGTGACTGGGGAAATGGAGGATGGGAACAGTGGAAGCATATTGGGTAGAAGAAATCCTCTTCCTTCTCTAGATGCAAAAGTAACAATTCTTTTATGCCACTGATACATTTTAGTACAATTTTTGCTCAGAATTGTTAAAAAGAAAAAGAGAGAGAAACACAGAAAGAGAGAGAATGAGAGAATAGAAAAGAAAGAAAAAAAAGAAAAATAAATTATTGTGGGACCAGAGAAGCTATGATTTGTAAAGGAGGCCCAGACACTTCTGAAGGGGTTTATAAAACTAAAACTTTGGCATCATACTAAAAAGACAGATGTTGTTTGTTAAAAGAGCATTGCCTACGCAGTCATTAGACCTGGATGAACTCAACATTACCACTCTAATTGCATAGCCTTGTGCAAGTCAACTTATGCCTTTGAGCATTTGGTTATTTTTTTTTTAATTTGGTAAAATATATTTTACTTTTTTCTAAGAATAGCTGTGAGGATCAACTCCCTAGTATAAGGGATTCTACTGAGACACACTGTGTTCTCTGAAAGCACCTTTGAACATATTTGTATTGGTTATCTCTTACTAGGCAACAAATTACTCTAATACCTAGTGGCTTAAAACCAACAATAAATACTATTTCACACAGTAGCTTTCAGTCAAGGATTCAGGAATGGCTTACATGGTGGTTCTGGCTTGCAGTGTCACAATCGGCTGCAATCAAGTTGTTGGCTGGGACTGGAGACATTTGAAGGTTGGACTGAGACACAAAGATCTACTTCTAAGATGACTCATTCAACAGGATGGCAATTTTGTACTGGATGTTGGCAGAAAGCCTCAGTTCCTCACCACATGAACCTTACCACTGGACTGTCTAAGCAGTTGCAATAGACTGAACATTTATATCCCCTCAAAATTCACATGTTGAAATACTAACTGCCAGCATGGTGGAATCAAAAGGTGGGAAAAGCTGATTAGATCATAAGGGCAGAGCCCTCAAGAGTAGAATTAGTGCCATTATAAAAGAGAACCCATAGAGGACTCTCACATTTTCTGCCCTGTGATGGTACAGCAAAAAGCCATCTAAGAGGAAGGAGGCCTTAGGAGACATCAAATCTGCCAACACCCTGATCTTGAACTTCCCAACATCTAAAACTGTGAGAAATAAATTTCTGCTATTTATAAGCTACCCAGTCTTCAGTGTTTTGCTACAGTTGCCCAAATAAGCTAAAGCAGCATCCTCCTGACATGGCAGCTGGCTTTCCTTAGATTGAGTAATCATAAAAGTGCTAGGCAGAAGAAAGCTACAATGTATTTTTATGACATAGCCTCAGAGGTCATGCACAATGCATCATTTCCACAATATCTTATGGTTACAAAAGTTAGCCCTATTCAGCAAGAACATGAATAAATTCTATCCAAATGTGTGAATTCTAGGAGGCAAGAATTACTTGGAGGGGACAAGGGTTAGGCATCTTGAAGGCTGCCTACCACAATATTCTAAAAATGCCTATGCTTAGAATTCCTAAGTGAGGAGAACTTTAGCTCTATTTTAAGATATATTAATAAGATATATTCTTAAGATATATTAGTCTATTTATATTACTCAAACTGGAGCCCATTTTTAATATCTATTATATTAGAAACATATTTATTTAAACTAGAGTTTTAAATATATTGTGATGAAGTTGTACGGGTACGTTTTAAAGTGAGTAAAAAGGATCCAGGATTAGGTTACTCTATTACATACTGAAAAATTCAAATGCAAAGAATAGTGAAGAACTAAGAAATGGCGATAGGAGTATTTGTTTGTCAAAAAAAAATAAATAAATAAAACGTGATCCAAGACACTAAACGAGGTTCTAAATATTACTTAGACCTGAGGTCAAAATTAGGTGATGGTGAAAATGTGCAGCATCACTCCAAGCATTCTCTAATTCCCCTGATTAGGAGCAGGATTATTTCCAAAGTACAATGAAAAGTTGAGACTGCAGATGTAATGACACAGCAACACTTGTGGATAGTAGACAAATTCTAGGTCAGGGGAACAGGCAGTTTATAAATAACCTAATTTTTTCATCATAATACTTCATTTGCTTAATTTCCCAAAGCCAGTTAGCTGAGACATTTTATCTAATAGATTTAGAGACCTAATCCATAGAAAATATTAGCGAGATTGGCTTTGCCACCCAGCCTCTTTCGTTTTTTTCAGGAAAAACAAACGAAAAAAGGATTTCCATTATTTCCCATAAACACATTCCTTTTGCCAGTTTATTTTTATTTTGGCTGCTGTGTTAAACTCTAGAACTAAAATGGGGCAGAATCTCTTTTCTAGGATTGCAAATGAACATTGATACATTAAAAAATACTTCCTAAAAGGTCAACTAAAAGAGTAAATCACAGTCACACCTGGAACAAAGAGGATCATTTTTGTGTCCAGATAAGGATTAGAATGTTAGCTCTACTATTCTTCCATTCTTCAACAATTATTCATTCAAAACCAATTTGTGGTAGGTATTATTCTAAGTGCTTAGACTATAAAACTAAAAAAAAAGAAAAGACAAGTATCTCTTTTTGGGATATCATATTCTAGTCACAGAGACAAGAAGACAAGTTAATGAACTAGGGTGCATGGTAATTATTGCTGAGATAGGAAAAAACAATTAAGTGGGTCACATGTGCATGAGGATGGCTGAAATTTTAGATGAGGGAGACAAGTACTGTCCTCACTGAGAAAATGACATTTGAGTAATTACTTGAAAGAAATGATGGGAGGGAAGGGCCAGGTAGGTTCCTGGAGGAAGAACATTTCAAGTAGATTATATGACTCTCAGAGCAGGTATCATTGAGATCTAATTCCCAGATTTGGATGCTATTCCTGAACAGTGGTTCAACAATAAATAAGTTTTGAATGTAGAATGATTATCCACAAAGAATAATCTTTTAGAATATCTTTCATTTTTAATCATTTTATTTATTTTGGCAAGTAAATGATGCCCTCTTCAGAATGAAAAATTCCAGTGGAAATTTTTCATAGCAAAAGGGCAAAGATAGGCATTTGTAGACCAGGGAGATAAGCTAGGAAAAAATTATGATTAGTAAGAAAGAACTATCACCTATGGGTTGCCTGGGGGATAAATGCAAATGCTTATCTTTATGACCTGACAAACTGATCTTATATTATAAATTATAAATCTCTGTTTTGTAGTCATCTCATCACATGAATAGGAATTTTTTAATTGAATTGTTCTTTCCTTTTTTTTTTTTTTCTGGAAACAATTTTACCCTGGGGCAAAGTCCAACTGTGGACCAGGCAAAATTTCCCACATTTACCTACTGCTCTTTTTGGCTCCGGCTTTCTTCTACATATCTTCTCTCCTACTCAACACTACTCTTCTTCCTCAAGCACTGTCGATACTGGGATACATTTTTATAAGTTATTTTATTTGACTTGTACCACCCATGACAGAACGTGAGTTGCTTTGGGGAAAAGATGATTTATTACACATCTTTAGAGCTCCAGTGTGGAGCACAGCAATTGGGACCTAAGTAGGGCATAGTGAATTGTTGTTGAAGGAATCTGATTCTTATAATCATTTTAATAGCTTAAGAAATGGAGGCAGAGGGCATTCCAAGACGGCCAAATAGAAACGGTTCCATTCTGTAGCTCCCAGCGTGATCGACAGAGAAGACAGGTGATTTCTGCGTTTCCAACTGAGGTACCTGGTTCATCTCATTGGGACTGGTTGGACAGTGGGTGCAGCCCACAGAAGGTGAGCTGAAGCAGGGCGGGGTGTCGCCTCACCTTGGAAGTGCAAGGGGTCGGGGATTTCCCTTTCCTAGCCAAGGGAAACAGTGACAGACTACCTGGAAAAACGGGCACTGCTGCCCAAATACTGTGCTTTTCCCAAGGTCTTATGAACCAGTAAACAAGGTGATTCTCTCCTGTGCCTGGCTTAGTGGCTCCCATGCCCATGGAGCCTTGCACACTGCTAGCACAGCAGTCTGAGATCGATATGTGAGACAGCAGCCTGGCTGGGAGAGGGGCAACTGCCATTACTGAGGCTTGAGTAGGTAAACAAAGGGGCTGGGAAACTCGAACAAGGGGGAGCCCACCATAGCTCAACAAGGCCTACTGCCTCTAGACTCCACCTCTGTGGGCAGGGCATAGCCAAACAAAAGGCAGGGGGCAACTTCTGCAGACTTAAATGTCCCTGTCTGACAGCTCTGAAGAGAGGAGTGGTTCTCCTAGCACAGCGTTTGAGATCTGAGAATGGACAGACTGTCTCCTCAAGTGGGTCTGTGACCCCTGTGTAGCCTAACTAGGAGACACCTCCCAGTAGGGGCTGACAGACACCACATATAGGCAGCTGACCCTCTGGGACAAAGCTTGCAGAGGAAGGATCAGGCAGCCATATTTGCTGTTCTGCAGCCTCTGCTGGCGATACCCAGGCAAACAAGCTCTGGAGTGGACCTCCAGCAAGCTCCAACAGACCTGCAGCTGAGGGACCTGACTGTTAGAAGGAAAACTAACAAACAGAAAGGAATAGCATCAACAGCAACAAAAAGGTCATCTACACCAAAACCCCATCTGTAGGTCACCAACATCAAAGACCAAAGGTAGATAAAACCACAAAGATGTAGAGAAACCAGAGCAGAAAAGCTGAAAATTCCAAAAATCAGAGCACCTCTTCTCCTCCAAAGGATCGCAGCTCCTCACCAGCAATGGAACAAAGCTGGACGGAGAATGCCTTTGATGAGTGGACAGAAGTAGGCTTCAGAAGGCTGGTAATAACAAGCTTCTCCCAGCTAAAGTAGGGTATTTGAACCCACCGCAAAGAAGCTAAAAACCTTGGAAAAAGACTAGACAAATGGCTAACTAGAATAAACAGAGTAGAGAAGACCTTAAATAACCTGATGGAGCTGAAAACCATGGCATGAAAACTTTGTGACACATGTAAAGGCTTCAATAGCTGATTCAATCAAGTGGAAGAAAGGATATCAGTGACTGAAGATCAAATTCATGAAATAAAATGAGAAGACAAGGTTAGAGAAAAAAGAGTAAAAAGAAATGAACAAAGCATCCAAGAAATATGGGACTATGTGAAAAGACCAAATCTACATTTGATTGGTGTACCTGAAAGTGATGGGAAGAATGGAACCAATTTGGAAAACACTCTTCAGGATATTATCCAGCAGAACTTCTCCAACATAGCAAGGTGGGCCAACATTCAAATTCAGGAAATACAGAGAACACCACAAAGATACTCCTCAAGAACAGCAACCCCAAGACACATAATTGTCAAATTCACCAAGGTTGAAACGAAGGAAAAAGTGTTCAGGGCAGCCAGAGAGAAAGGTCGACTTACCTGCAAAGGAAGCCCATTAGACTAACAGTGTATCTCTCAGCAGAAACCCTACAAACCAGAAGACAGTGGGGGCCAATAGTCAACATTCTTAAAGAAAAGAATTTTCAACCCAGAATTTCATATCCAGCCAAACTAAGCTTCATAAGTGAAGGAGAAATAAAATCCATTACAGACAAACAAACGCTGAGAGATTATGCAACCACCAGGCCTGCCTTACAAGAGCTCCTGAAGGAAGCACTAAACATGGAAAGGAACAACCGGTACCAGCCACTGCAAAAACATGCCAAATTGTAAAGACCATCGATGCTATGAAGAAACTGCATCAATTAACGGGCAAAATAACCAGATAACATCATAATGGCAGGATCAAATTCATACATAACAATATTAACCTTAAATGTAAGTGGGATAAATGCCCCAATTAAAAGACACAGACTGGCAAATTGGATAAATAGTCAAGACCCGTCAGTGTGCTATATTCAGGAGACCCATCTCACGTGCAAAGAGGCACATAGGCTCAAAATAAATGGATGGAGGAAGATCTACGAAGCAAATGGAAAGCAAAAAAAAGGCAGGGGTTGCAATCCTAGTCTCTGATAAGAGACTTTAAACCAACAAAGATCAGAAGAGACAAAGAAGGCCGTTACATAATGGTAAAGGGATCAATTCAACAAGAAAAGCTAACTATCCTAAATATATATGCACCCAATACAGGAGAACCCAGATTCATAAAGCAAGTCCTTAGAGACCTACAAAGGGACTTAGATTGCCACACAATAATAATGGGAGACTGTAATACCCCACTGTCAATATTAGACAGATTAATGAGACAGAAGGTTAACAAGGATACCCAGGACCTGAACTCAGCTCTGCAACAAGCAGAACTAATAGACATCTACAGAACCCTCCACCCCAAATCAACAGAATATACAGTCTTCTCAGCACCACATCACACTTATTCTAAAACTGACCACATAGTTGGAAGTAAAGCACTCCTCAGCAAATGTAAAAGAATGGAAATCACAACAAACTGTCTCTAAGACCACAGAGCAATCAAATTAGAACTCAGGATTAAGAAACTCACTCAAAACCACATGACTACATGGAAACTGAACAACCTGCTCCTGAATGACTGCTGGATAAATAACAAAATGAAGGCAGAAATAAAGATGTTCTTTGAAACCAATGAGAACAAAGACACAATGTACCAGAATCTCTGGGACACACTGAAAGCAGTGTGTACAGGGAAGTTCATGGCACTAAATGCCCAAAAGAGAAAGCAGGAAAGATCTAAAATCAACATCCTAATATCACAATTAAAAGAACTAGAGAAGCAAGAGCAAACAATTATTGCTTCTGAAATTGAGGCAATAATTAATAGCTTACCAACAAAAAAAGTCCAGGACCAGATGGATCCATAGCCAAATTCTACCAGAGGTACAAAGAAGAGCTAGTACCATTCCTTCTGAAACTCTTCCAATAAATAGAAAAAGAGGGAATCCTCCCTAACTCATTTTATGAGGCCAACACCATCCTGATACCAAAGCCTGGCAGAGACACAACAAAACAAAGAGAATTTTAGACCAATATCCCTGATGAACATCAATACAAAAATCCTCAATAAAATACTGGCAAACCGAATCCAGCAGCACGTCAAAAAGATTATCCACCATGATTAAGTCGGCTTTATCCCTGGGATGCAAGGCTTGTTCAACATATGTGAATCAATAAATGTAATCCAACATATAAACAGAACCAAAGACAAACACCACATGATTATCTCAATAGATGCAGAATAGGCCTTTGACAAAATTCAACAGCCCTTCATGCTAAAAACTCTTAATAAACTAGGTACTGATGGAAAGTATCTCAAAATAGTAAGAGCTATTTATGACAAACCCACAGCCAATATCATACTGAATGGGCAAAAACTGGAAGCATTCCCTTTGAAAACTGGCACAAGACAGGGATGCCCTCTCTCACCACTCCTATTCAATATAGTGTTGGAAGTTCTGGCCAGGGCCATCAGGCAAGAGAAAGAAATAATGTGTATTCAATTAGGAAAAGAGGAAGTCAAACTGTCCCTTTTTGCAGATGACATGATTGCATATTTAGAAAACCCCATCTTCTCAGCCCAAAAACTCCTCAAGCTGATAAGCAACTTCAGCAAAGTCTTGGGATACAAAATCAATGTGCAAAAATCACAAGCATTCTTATACACCATTAACAGACAAACAGAGAGCCAAATCATGAGTGAATTCCCATTCACAATTGCTTCAAAGAGAATAAAATACCTAGGAATCCAACTTACAAGGGATGTGAAGGACCTCGTCAAGAAGAACTACAAACCACTGCTCAATGAGTCAAAAGACGACACAAACAAATGGAAGAATATTATATGCTCATAGATGGGAAGAATCAATATCGTGAAAATGCCATATTGCCCAAGGTAATTTATAGATTCAATGCCTTCTCCATCAAGCTACCAATGACTTTCTCCACAGAATTGGAAAAAACTACTTTAAACTTCATATGGAAACAAGAAAGAGCGAACATTTCCAAGACAATCCTAAATGAAAAGAACAAAGCTGGAGGCAGCATGCTACCTGACTTCAAACTATACTACAGGCTACAGTAACCAAAAGAGCATGGTACTGGTACCAAAACAGACACATAGACCAATGAAACAGAACAGAGGCCTCACAAATAACACCACACATCTACAACCATCTGATCTTTGACAAAACTGACAAAATAAAATGGGGAAAGGATTCCCTATTTAATAAATGGTGCTGGGAAAACTGGCTAGCCATATGTAGAAAGTTGAAACTGGATCCCTTCTTTACACCTTACACAAAAATTAATTCAAGATGGATTAGACTTAACTGTTAGACCTAAAACCATAAAAACCGTAGAAGAAAACCTAGGCAATACCATTCAGTACATTGGCATGGCCAAGGACTTCATGACTAAAATACCAAAAGCAATGACAACAAAAGCCAAAATAGGCAAATGGGATCTAATTAAACCAAAGAGCTTCTGCACAGCAAAAGAAATGACCATCAGAGTGAACAGGCAACCTACAGAATGGGAGAAAATTTTTGCAATCTCCTCATCTGACAAAGGGCTTATATCCTGAATCTACAAAGAACTCATACAAATTTACAAGAAAAAAAAACCCATCAAAAAGTGGGCAAAGGATATGAACAGACACTTCTCAGAAGAAGACATCTATGCAGCCAACAGACACATGAAAAAATGCTTATCATCACTGGCCATCAGAGAAATGCAAATCAAAACCACAGTGAGATACCATCTCACGCCAGTTAGAATGGCAATCATTAAAAAGTCAGGAAACAACAGATGCTGGAGCGAAAGTGGAGAAATAGGAAAGCTTTTACACTGTTGGTGGGAATGTAAATTAGTTCAACCATTGTGGAAGACAGTGTGGTGATTCCTCAAGGATCTAGAACTAGAATTACCATTTGACCCAGCGATCCCATTACTGGGTATATACCCAAAGGATTATAAATCATGCTACTATAAAGACACACGCACACGTATGTTTATTGCAGCATTATTCACAATAGCAAAGACTTGGAACCAACCCAAATGTCCATCAATGATAGACTGGATTAAGAAAATGTGGCACTTATACACCATGGAATACTATGCTGCCATAAAAAAGAATGAGTTCATGTCCTTCGCAGGGACATGGATGAAGCTGGAAACCATCATTCTCAGCAACCTATCACAAGAACAGAACAACAAGCACTGCATGTTCTCATTCATAGGTGGGAATTGAACAATTAGAACACTTGGACACAGAGCAGGGAACATCACACACCGGGGCCTGTTGCAGGGGTGGGGGCTGGGGGAGGAGGGATAGCATTAGGAGAAATACCTAATGTAAATGAGTTGACGGGTGCAGCAAACCAACATGGAACATGTATACCCATGAATCAAACCTGCAGGTTGTGCACATGTACCCTAGAACTTAAAGTATAATTTTAAAAAAAGAAATGGAGGCACAGTGAACTACATAGTTTTTCAGAGTTCTCAGCAGTGTCAGTTGATAGTTCTAAAACTAGTATATGAGTGTCTTGATACCGAAAAACAGTGTTGTCTCACTATTTTTAAAATATTGAAAAGCAGTGTTGTTTGACTATTTAAACAACAACAAAAAAAAGTTGGCCAGGCACTGTGGCTCACACGTATAATCCCACATTTTGGGAGGTCAAGGCAGGCGGATAATGAGGTCAGGAGTTCGAGACCAGCCTGGTCAACATGGTAAAACCCCATCTCTAGTAAAAATACAAAAATTAGCTGGGTGCAGTGGTACGCACCTGTAGTTCCAGCTACTTGGGAGGCTGAGGCAGGAGAACCACTTGAACCCGGGAGGCGGAGGTTGCAGTGTGCCAAGATTGTGCCACTGCACTCCAGCCTGGGTGACAGAGCAAGACTCTGTATCAAAAAAAAAAAAAAGTTTGCCACTTTTAAGGATGAAATGTGTCATTAGATAATTCAGTTTCCAAATAGTTTTTAGTGAACTATTCAACGAAATTAGCAATATTTTATAATCTGTCATAAGTGCAATTGGAGATAGAAGTGGATAAAACGTAAGGGTCAAAATGTGTCAATGCATATTTCAACGAGAGTTACCACATGTAGAATTAAGGATCTGCATGGTATTCAAAAATCATCCAAAGATCACTTTATTCTATTTTAAAAACCAGTGGACATACTTATGACAGTTTCTTATATTTTTACAGTTTCAATGCTCTCATAAGCCTTTGAGGCAATGCCCTCATTCTTAATACCTTGGAGCAAATTGTACATAAACACCTCCTACCAAAAGTATTTTTTAAATGAGCAATGAACTGTTTTTTCCCCTCATCTTGCATTAATGAGTGATTTGGGTATGTTGTCTTGAGTTTATCCATTTTACTGATGTTATTCTGTAAAGCACACAATTCTCAGATTTATGAGATTTACATTCGAGTTTTGTTTCTGACTAGCTTTGTGTACTGGGAAAGTCATTTCAACACTATTAACTACCATGATGGCAAAATTAAAACAGGCTCTTATATGCTGAAGAGATAGCAAACTCAAGTAGGAATACAATTTATAAGATTTTAATATCTAAAAGAGGATGTTGTGCTAATCTCTGGTAAAAGTGTGTTTGCATTACCATTAGAAATCCATACAGCTTAACACATTCAGGTTCAGAACAAGCTTATTCTTTTGAGTCTAGAGAATTCAACTTCACTTGGAATTTTTCTGAGACATTTAAGACATTATTCTACCTGTACTGCCACAAGTCTAAGGTTTGACAATAACAAATACTGTTTTAGTTGGAACTGACAGGGCATCTCATTATCATGTGATTATCCTTTTAGCTCATTAATAATAATGGTGATAATTATAATTATAAAATTAATATCTGGAAAGAGCTTTACAACATATATTATTGTATTTAAAGAAACCACGAAATTCAATATCAGGATATTTCACGTAGTAATTCAGAATACAGATAAAGATATTCACAATATCATTGATTCTCCTTGACATGGCTAGAACTTCAAAAATATCTCTTTGGGGGAGTCAGGACGCAGGGAGTTATAATGTAGAAACTCACAAAAGAGATAAGTTTATATATTATAAAGTCAAATATATACAATACCAATATCCAAAGACAGGATGCTGCACTAGAGTATGAGTTTGGGCAAATGTCTCCACTTCCGTGTTGTAAGAAAGTCAGTGCTGGAGAGGATGTGGAGAAATAGGAACACTTTTACACTGTTGGTGGGACTGTAAACTAGTTCAACCATTGTGGAAGTCAGTGTGGCGATTCCTCAGGGATCTAGAACTAGAAATACCATTTGACCCAGCCATCCCATTACTGGGTATATACCCAAAGGATTATAAGTCATGCTGCTATAAAGACACATGCACACGTATGTTTATTGCGGCACTATTCACAATAGCAAAGACTTGGAACCAACCCAAATGTCCAACAACGATAGACTGGATTAAGAAAATGTGGCACATATACACCATGGAATACTATGCAGCCATAAAAAATTATGAGTTCATATCCTTTGTAGGGACATGGATGAAACTGGAAACCCTCATTCTCAGCAAACTATAGCAAGGACATAAAACCAAACACTGCATGTTCTCACTCATAGGTGGGAATTGAACAATGAGAACACATGCACACAGGAAGGGGAACATCACACTCTGGGGACCGTTGTGTGGTGGGGGTAGGGGGGAGGGATAGCATTTGGAGATATACCTAATGCTAAATGACAAGTTAATGGGTGCAGCACACCAACATGGCACATGTATACATATGTAACAAACCTGCACATTGTGCGCATGTACTCTAAAACTTAAATTATAATAAAATAAAACAAGAAAAAAAAGAAAGTCAGTAATTAGTGGGGCTGATTTCTTTGCTGGGACTATCAAGGGCAAAATTTTTCCTTTTCTTTTCAAAGAATATATGATTATGTATACTATAAATATACCTAAAATAGCTATATAGGTAGGGAATATATTGTGAGCCTGAATTGTGTCCACTGCTAGAGTTTAACCACATATTTGAACTGGTGTATTTCAAGTGGTGTAGAAGTCTATTTGTATATGCAACTGAAGAGTTTTCTGGAAATGTTTACCAATGAAAATCCAAACCATGCACCCATCGATGCCATGTGAACTCTTCAGTTATCAGAGAATAGTTGTTATGTTTTTTTTTATAAGAAGCCAGCATAATTTGAAATCAAGAAAGTCATATGTTGAGCATTTCATGGTACACTGGGACATCAACCTCAAAAAAATGGACTCAAATCTTATGTAGGGGACAGATGTGTAAGGTAAAAATTTAATAGAGTTTAGAAATCGCTTCAGAAAGTACCATCACTCTATACGGGCAATAAGCCCAGTTCTTCCTCCAGCGTTTTAAGAGATTACTATTTTGTTTGAGCATCAGATGAATTAGTTTAGGCTTAAAGGCATGAAAAAATACATTTAAAAATGTATTAGTATCACAGGAAAGAGACTGAACAATGAGGGGCATGTGTATGAAAATAGACCAAATAATGATCTATTAATAAGTTTCATGCCATGTTCCCTCCAGGACATAAACTGAGTGAAATAAGGGGTGAGATTACTAGCAATTAATTTTTAACAAATTAATCAGAGTATGTTCAACTCTGCTGTTCTTTCATCCAATACAATGGTCCTCAACCAGGCATTATTTAGTTCCTCTGAGGACATTTTGCAATGTCTAGAGACATTGTGCCATAGTTGAGAAACTCTGATAAAAGAATGCCATAATATGGGAAAAACGTTTTCCTCACTCCTCATCATACATAGTTTCCCCTACAGTCTGAAACCTATATTAAATATCATCTATGTGCTCCCCAAGCCTACTCTTACTCTCTTGACTTTGCTGCCTGTCCTCACCTTTGTAAATTATCTGTTTCATTTAACTTTATTTAAATTATGCAATTTAAGTATGTTTGTTTCTTGCCAGGACTCTAACTGATACAGATCCTCTTGAATCCAGTGCAAAAGGCTTTGGTGTTTAAAGGAAGATAATAAACCATGCACAGTAGAGGCAGGGGCAATTGCTAGGGAAAAAAGAAAAAATAAAAACAACAACAACAAAACCTCAAGTAATCACTGTTGTACCCAGTGACTCAGTTAGTTTAGGGATCTAAGACAACTCTGGTAGTAATGCTTGCCAGTCCAAGCAACTCCAATGTGTGATAGAGATGGCATTGCACAGAAGAAAAGACTAGTTGTAACCATAAAAGGGTCAGTGCTCTTTCACAGGAATAGAACTAAGCAAAGTGGCAACAGAAATTATTGAGTGCTGTGTGGTAACTGAGAAAATTGTCTGCAAGCACATTTGAGATAACTCCAAAGCATTTAAAAATAATCTTTAATCTAATTTTCCAACTTTGAATATTCTTTACTCCTTGTGAAACTCTTCTGAAGTAATGCTTCCTGCTCAATTTCTTTATGATTCCTTATGAATCATGAATTCATGGATTTATGGATTTATGAAATAATGATTCATCCATTTAATAAATGTTTGTTTTTTAACAACTTCAATTTGACATGCCAGCCATTGTCCTTGGGAATAATGCTTATCTGAAATTCTCCCAAGGTTCTCATCTTGAGGTCACAGTGGCCCTTGAATACCTCACATTATGGTATCTTACTGCCTTCAGGGAGTTTATATTCCAGTCCTTATTAGGCCATCCTGAGTTGCTGAGGTCCCTGTTGATCTACATCTAAACTCTCCAAAATTATAGTAACCTTTTGATATATATGACAAGAATTTTGCCCCTTATTTTCATTTCTATTTTTAGTCTTTTGTAGCATTTATCTTTGCTCACTGCAGGGCAATATAATTAATTATATAATTAAAAGTGAAAGTAAAAAGCCACTGCATTAGATTGTGAGACTCATAAACACACTAATGAGTGAAATGTAATTTATCTCCAGAGATGAGTAATTTCTAAAGTGATGATCAACAAGTGAACTCATATACACCATCCAAAAGCTTCATGTGGCCACTGAAATCAATTTAGATTTTTTTAATGTAGTATTTAGAATTTCAGTGTTTACAAACACCATTTTGCATTTATTATACACTTTTAAATGTTGCACATGAGTTGATCACCTTGCTGGTAAACATTTATTAAGCATTTACTATATATCAGCATAAGGCCAAATGTTTGGGATACAAAGGTGTCCATCACTGAGGACTTAACAATCTAACAGATGTGTAATACAAATAAGAAAATAATTGCAAGAAATGAATATAATATTCAAAGTATTACAGATGAGCAGCCTAATGGGAAGAGAAAAAAATTTGCTGAATGTATATTCCAGTTGAAGAGGACAATGCTAGATGCAGTTACAATGTGTCAGTACTTCCCTGATTTTAATCAATATGCATACAATAACCTGAAGATTATGTTAAAATGCACATTCTGATTAAAATGTTTTGGGTAAGGCCTGAGATTTCTCATTTCTTACACGTTTCCAGGTAATGCCAATTCTGATTCTATTTGGTAACACCTTGAGCAAGAAGATTCTAAAACTCACAACCATATTCAATTTTTTACAGTAAGGGAGAGGGAGTTTCAGAGAGACAAATGTTTTGCTCAAAATTATATAACTAAACTTGGACTGATTTGAATTTTTTAGATTCCAAAACATGTTATTCAAGTAACCAGTCTTGAGTAGTTACTTGGAAGGGTGAGTTAAGTAATATGAGCTTCACAAGTGAAATAACATTTGAATTAGTGAATGGTGAAGGAAAATATAGATGTTTCCAGGCAGCATATAAAAGGTAAGTATGTGATTTAGAGTTGATGTGATTGTAGTGGTGTCCAAAAAGCGAATTGGTTACCAGCTGAAATTAAGCTAGAAAGTATGATCATAAAATTTAGAGGGATACTTAAGAAAACCAAGAAATGTTTTTATTTTTATTAAAACAGGTAATTGAAAATAATCAAATAACTGCTTAAAACAACCTGATGTATTTGTTTTTTTTAGGAAGCTCAATCTGGATGATTGGGATGGGATGGGTATTAATCCTAGAGATATTAGAAAATAATTAAATTATAAGGTGGTCATAGAAGATACCCTGAAAATAGATTAAAAAATAGTTCAGAGTCCATAACAAATGTCTGGGCCTGCTGCAGCAGAGTGGAGGTCTGGTTGGTGAGGCCTCCTCCCCGGCTGACCAACGTGCCTCCATGCACGTTAGGCCACTAGTCTGCTTGCATGGGTGTAGGGGCGATGGTCACAATTAATGCCTTAGAAGAAGAGAGCTTCATACATTCCTTCTCCTCTGACTCTGATGCAGAACTTGGTGCTGTGTGGTTGGGTATTCAGAGGACATTATCGTGGATGATGAGTTCCAGTTATTATAGAGAAATTTCATGGACAAGTACTACCAGGAGTTTTAAGACCGGGAAGAGAATAAACTCAACTGTGTGCCTGATTTAGTGAATATATTTATTTGGTGGAAAAGTATATTGAAAGACAGCTTCTGGAGCAGATTCCTGGATTCAACATGGCAGCTTTTACAACAACGTTACAGCAAGGTAAAGATGAAGTGGCTGGTGACATATTCAACATGCTACTCCCATTTACAGATTTTTCTAGCTTTTGAAAAAATGTTTTTAGAATACAGGACAGCAAAAGAAGGCTGGAGACAAGACTTACATGACGGTTTAGTGGTGACTTGTGCAAATTATCCTCAAGGCCAGCTTTCTAGAACAATCTACAGCATTAGGTCCTACCTCCAACCAATGAATAGGATCATTCTGGATGTCACTGACCCGTAGGACAATAGTCTCAGCTAGTGATGACAGAATACATCTTGAAAAGACTGACTCTGCTCTGCAGTAGTTTGTTCATGTTAAGTATTGATGGGTCAAAACCAGTATGACTTAATCCTCCCGGACCCATTTCTCTTGAAACACCTTCAAGTATTCATTAACCTTGGTGCTTAGTAACCCTAGTATACATCCCCTCCCCAAGTAAATACTTCTCTCATGTGCTTCTGAGTCAGACTTTTCTGGAGCAAGCCCACATCAAAGATTCCACCTAAAGGATCTCTTCCCCCAGCATACATGTTGGTATGTCAACAGTGTGGAATAACCCACCATCACAAATCCTCTTTATTTCAGCAAGCTTTGCATAAATATTTTTGTATACCCACAACTCTTTTTAATACGAATCAGAGTTCCTGTCCTTAAGCCTCAATAGGGTTTTTGATATTTATTTAGGGTGTTACTCAAGCCGGCTGTCTGTCTTGAGATTTCTAATCTCCTATGATCACAGCTTATCTTGGCTGTAAAAATCAATGTAAACAGATATACTTTACCTTAAAGCCACATGTGAAAATCAACTCCATTTGCAGTCCTTGTGTCACTGTCTTCTGCTAGTCCTGATGAGCCCCACTGTACCTAGAAGTCTCTTTCAAACATTCTTTTTGAAAAAAATATTCTTATAAATGAATACTCAGGCTAACCTAGAGGATATGATGTTGGAACTTCCATGATTACCCACATGGAGATGAAAGTATTATATGCTGTGTGATTTTTTAGTTCTTAGTGCTATGAAGTCAAAAATATTTCTTATGTTGGCATTCATTTCTATTTTACTGGATACCAGTGAATGTATGTTTTGTGCTAGAAATATACTAAAAGGTATGCTGTTCTTACAGCATGTTAAATGTGTTTGTGCATACTTGCTGAAAATTCTTTCTGTATAAACCAGTTAGGTTCTATGTCGTAGACAGTGACTCTGCAATTTCTTCTTCCTGTCAAAATCTCTTTTACTGAGATGATATTCTGCTGATTTAGCTCAGCCTGGGTAAGATGTAGTAAACAGCTTTACTAGTTCTCTGTCTGCTTTGGTTTAGCGCAATGTCTGGTAGAGTATTACTTACCAGGAAACGTGTATGTCACATCTCGAGAAAGAAGAAAAAAAAACATAGTAGTTCAATTCCCAATGTGTACCTTTGAATTTTTTAAGTAAAAATGAGAATCTGTACTGACTTTCACTTGGCCATTCTGATTTTAAAGGATGAGCTACAAGCTATATGTTTTTCTGTCCTGATATGTCACTTATTAACTAGTTTTACACCATCCATAAAATTTGAGGTGTTTTACAAGAAATATAAAATAAAATAATAGTTCAAAAATACTTCTAATGATTTGAGACCAATTAATATGGAAGCAAAGGTAAGAAAGAGTCAAGAATCTTGGATAAATTTTAGCTCTGGTTGTTAAGTGAATTATGACTTCATGTCCAAGAGCGAGGAACCAGGAGAAAGAGCAGAGTTGGACAGACAGAATAATGGAAAACTTGCAGTCCAAGAGACCTTTGCAGTAGCTTCTGCAGAAAAAGCATATAATTTAAATAGTGGTTAGAATTTGCTATGCAAATATTCATAATCAACTTGGCATCACCCTAACAGCAGAACATTATATTGGTTGATTATTAGAACACACACATATCTTATTTGCTGAGCAGCAGCTGCAGGATCTTAAATTAAACCATAGTTAAAAAACACAACCACTTCCTCCAAGACCTTATAATTTCATTTAAACATAAAACTCATTCCATCATCCAGCTACTCAAATGACAAAAAACAAACTGCAAAGAATTTATAGAGAGGAGAGAAAAAAGAGTTCAGCTTCTAGATGTAGTTGATAGAAATTGCTAGACGGCTGCAGTTTTAGTCTATTTCTAAAATTGTAAGAACAACAATAACACTATGAAAATGAGAGATAAGCATAGAGAATAATCTAGCTGTGTCAAGGCTAAGTGAGTCATCCCCACCCTCTTGATAATATTTGCCCTAAGGATGTATTTCTTCTTCTTCTATTATAATTCTATAAATAATTCTTTTGGAAACAGAATGAAAAAGCAAGCACAGCAACAACCTACTTATTCCAAAATTGGGATCAGATATATTTTCTCATTTGAAATGTAAATGAGAACTAGGATAAAAGTAAGGAAATAACAAAGCGGTGAAGCTGGTTAAAAAAAAAAAAAAACCAAGTACTAAAATTTATATATCTTTCTCAATGGAGCAATACTCAAGCCCTCACTCAGCACTTATTTGATGGCATCATTTCACATCATTCTAATAAGTATGGTGAGCTAGTTTTCCTAACAAACCTTGGAGGCAATGAGGCATAGTGGAAAGAGCAAAGTCTTCAGATTCATGTATTAGTTTGTGAATGTCTCGAGAAAGGAAATCTAGTATATGCCATATATCTTGCACTGTATATTCTCAACATTGTTAATATACGCTGAATAATATCTGTATGACATGCAACAAGGAACTCTGCATTTGCCATGTCACCCCCATGAGCCTTTCTCAGTTGCAAAATGATGAAAACACAATCCAACAGAGGTACACAACATGTACAACATGCAACATGGAACATTGCATTTGTCATGTCATCCCTGTGAGCCTTTCTCACTAAATGAGATTTAAAATCATCCAGCACAATGCTTAGCACATGGTACATGTCTTGTAGCTGCTAGTTCTTAACTCATAGTACATTAGCAGTAGAAAATTGGGAGGCTAGGGAAAAAGGGCCGCTGGCATTGAGAACATGAAGAGTAGTGGCTGCTGAGAAACAAGTAGTGAGAAATACAGAAGAAAAGATTACTAAAATTTAAGTACAGGAGTCCACACAATTTTAGAAAAACCTATAGCCAACATCATACTAAACCTAAAAGATTGATTTTTTTTCCTCTCAGTTCAGGGAAAATATATGAAGGTCCACCCTGAAAACTGATTTTCTATGTTTCATAGCAGCTTCTAGCCATTACAGAAAGACAAGGAAATGAAACTAAAAGCAGCCATATTGGAAAGGAAGAATACTGGCTTAAAAGGCAGATGACATAATCATCTTCATGGAGCTCTGATGGAATCATCAGCAAAGCTGTTGAGTTTAGCAAGGTTGCAAGATACAAAATCAATATACTAAAATCAATTACATCTCTATATACTCGGAACAAACGGTCATACATTGAAATTAATCAAGAGTAAATACTCTAAATAGTGTAAAAATATGAAATACTTGGGGTTAAATATGACAAATATGTAAAACTACTGTACATTAAAAACTATGAAACATTGCTGAGAAAAATTAAAAGATACCCAAAAAATAGATAATTTTTTTCATGGCTCAGAAGACTCAATATTGTTAAGATGTCAAGTCTCTAAAAATTGCATTTATAAAGTTAGTACAATTCCAATCAAAATTCAGCCAGTTATTTTGGGGAAACTCAAAAGCTGATTCTAAAATTCACATGGAAATGCAAAGAAATAGAACAATGAAAAAAACACAGAAATGGTAGAAATAAAGAAGCATGACACTGGCTGATTCTAGATCTTACTATAAATCAACAGCAATCAAAATAATGTAGTAGTATTATCAAGATAAAAAATGGGTCAAACTGAATAAAGTCCAGAAATATACTTACACATACACAGCTTTTATTTAACACAGACACAAGGGCAACTGAGTGGAGAAGTACAGATTTTTCTTTCAATAAATTATGCTGAAACAATTCAATATTCATATCTAAAATTAAATAAACAAAAAGAACTTCAAACTACACCTTACATCAAATATAAAAATTAACTCAAAATGGATTATGAACTTAAATATAAAATGTATAAAACCTCTAGAAGAAAATAAATGAGTTAATCTGTGTCTTGGTTAAAGCAAAGATTTTCTTAGATATGACAAGAAATATTCAGTTCATTAAAAGAAAAGAAATAATAAGTTGGAGTTCATCAAAATGGAAACTTCTGTTTGAAAGACAGAGTTAAAGGAATAAAAAGACAAACCATAGACTGGAAAAATATATTTGGAAATCATGTACTTGATAAGGTACTTGTATATACAACATATAAAGGACTCTCAAAACTCAAATAATAGAAAACGAATCATACAGTTAAAAAAAATGGCAATATATTTAGGCAGACACTTCACCAAAGGAAATACAAAGACAGCAAGCAAATAAGCATATTTGAAGATGCTAAAATTAAAATGATTGGCCATGGCGAAAATGTTTTTGAGGGTGTGGAGAAACTCACACTGGCATATGCTTCTAGTTGGAATAAAAAATGGTACAATTGTTTTTGAAAGACTGTCGGGGAGTTTCCTAAGAAGTTAAACATAGATCTACCTTATTCTCCCACCACTCCACTTCTAAGTATTTTCCCAAGAGAAATAAAAGTGTACGTTCATTAAAGCACACAAATATACAAAGCAGCTCTATTTGTAATAGTCCCAAACTGTAAACAATTTTAGTTTTTGTCAAAATGTAAGTAAATGTAACAATGGTGATCTACCCATTCAATGGAATACAACTCATCAGTAAATATTAAAAATGAACTGTTAATATAGGCCAGTATGATGAATTTCAGAACAGTTAAACTGAGTGAAAGAAGCCAGACAAAAAGAAGCCAGACCTCCCGCCAAAAAAAATTATACAATATGTTTCCTTTCATTTAAAATTCTAGGAAATTAAAAAGAACTTATAGCAATAGAAAGTAACATCAGTGGTTTCCTGTGGGTGGGTTTAAATGGCAGGATGCAGCAGAAGTGAAGATTATAAGGGGGTAAAGGGAAACTTTTGGTACGATGATATGTACATTTTCCTGATAGTTATGATACTTTTCTAGTAGTATTAATTTGTCAAAACTTATCAAATTGTACATGTTAAATGAACATGACTATTTTGTCAATTATACTTTAGTATAGCTGTTAGAGAGAGAAGGAGTAGGAAGATTAGGAGTTAACAAGGAGGAAAAAGTAAGGTTGCAATTTTAGACAGCTTTTTAAGAGCAGGCCCCACTGGGAAGGTGAGATTTGAAAAAGCCTTTAAAAGGGAAAGGAAGTTAGCTACACTACAGAGGCAACAGCCAGGCAAAGGCCCTAGGGAAAGTGTATGGTTGGCAATGAGGCCAATGTGCCTGAAGCACAGTGAGAAAGGTCTAGCGTACTAGGAGTTAAAGTAAGAGAGGCCACAAATCACCTCTATGCATTTTAAAACTTTGGTCTCTTACTAGAAGTAAGACATATAGCTATTGAAGTTGTTATGCAGAGGATGACACTATCTAGTTAGATTTTTTTTTTAAATTTCTCTGGCTGTTGCATTACGAATAATCTTTACGGGGACAAAAGTGAAAGTAGAGAGGCCAATCAGGAGGCTATTACAAAAATTCAGAGAAGGAATGATAGTAGCTTGAGACAGGATGGCAACATTGGAGCAGGTAGGAACTAATTAGATTCTGCCTGTGTTTTGAAGGTAAAGCCAACTGTTTTTTCAAACGGATTGAAAATGGAATATGAAACAAAGAGAGGAATTTTCTTGAGTTGGTTTTCACTCCCATTCTCTTCCTGGTAATTTATCTATCAAAGCTTTCAATTTTGTTCAACTTCCTGTCAATGTAATCCAAAAAAGACTAACCAGTTCAGTGTAGAAGAAGCCTCTTAATTGCACATTCTCTGTGGATTTGGGCTAAATTTATTTGGCACTGTATTACCACTCAGTTGACTTCAATTGAAATTGCAGAAAAAAGCATTATGTCTGCTAACTGTCTGCTTCTTCAAAAATGTTTTTCTATTTCTTTCATCAATGTTTTGTAGCTTTCATTGTCAAGAGTTTTTACCTCCTTGCTTAAATTTATTCCTAGGTCCTTTATTATTTTTTGCAGCTATTGTCAATGGAATTGCTTTCTTAAATTTAGAGCTAATTTGTTATTGGTGTACAGAAGTGCTACTGGTTTTTGGATGTTGATTTTTTATCTTTCATCTTTACCAAACTATTTTATCACTTCTAATAGGTTTTTGGTATAGTCTTTAGGTTTTTCAATAGATAAGATTGTGTTGTCTGCAAACAGGGACAATTTGACTTCCTCCTTTCCAATTCTGATTCACTATCCATCTATCTTTCTTTCTTTCTTCCTTTCTTTCTTTTTCTTTCTTTCTTCTTTTTCTTTCTTTCTCTCTCCCCTCCATTCCTTCCTTCCTCCCTCCCTCCCTCCCTTTCTCTCTCTCTCTTCCCTTAATTTCTCTGGCTAGAACTTCCACTACTATATTGAATAACCATAGTAAAAGTGAGCATCTTTCCCTTGTTCTAGTCCTTAGAGGAAAAGCTTTCAATGTTTTCTCATTCAATATGATGGTAGCTGTGGGTTTATCACATATGGCCCTTGCTGTGTTGAGGAACATTCTTTCTAGATCTGATTTGTTCAGTTTTCATCATGAAGGCATGCTGAATTTTGTCAAATGTTTTTTTTCTGCGTTTACTGAGATGATTACAGGGCTTTTGTTTCTCATTCTGTTAATGTGATTTGTCACATTTATTGATGTGTGTATGTTGAAATATTCTTGCCTTCCTATTCCTAGGATAAATCTCACTTGATCATGGTATACAATCTTTTTGATGTGCTGTTGGATTTTGTTTGCTAGTATTTTGTTAAGGATTTATACAGCTATGCAAAACTGCGTCAGAGCTAATGACCTACAGTTTTCTTTTTTTGTGGGTCTTTGTCTGATTTCAGTATCAGGGTGATGTTGGCTTCTTTCTAAAGCGAATTGAATATAATATAGAATTGGTTTGTATAAATTACTACCTTTTCAATTTTTTTGAATAGTTTGAGAAGAATATGTGTTAGTTCTCCTTTAAAAGGTTGTGAAATAGAGCTTTGATGTGATCCTGTGTAAGGCTGTTCTTCTTGGGAGATTTTATACTACTAATTCAATCTCATTGCTTCTGATTATTCTGTTCAGCTTTTCTGTTTCTTCTTGATTCGATCTTGGTAGGTTATATGGGTTGAGGAATTTATTCATTTCCTCTAAGTTTTCTAATTTGTTGGCAGATACTTGACCAAAATAGCCTCTAATGATACTTTGTATTTCTGTAGTATCAGTTGTAATGTCTCCTTTATTATTTCTGTTTTTGTAAATTTGGGTCTTCTCTCCTTTTCTTTTCTTAAAAACGGGAAGACATCCATGTTCATGGATTGTGTATTAGTCCATTCTCACACCACTATAAAGAATACCACCTAAGACTGGGTAATTATAAAGGAAAGCAGGTTAATTAATTCACAATTCTGCAGGCTTAACAGGAAGCATAGCTAGGAAGCCTCAGGAAACTTACAATCATGGCAGAAGCAAAAGGGAAAATAGGCACCTTTTTCACAAGGTGGCAGGAGGGAATGTGTGTGAGAAAGAGGAAGTGCCACACTTTAAAACCATCGGCTCTCTTGAGAACTAACTCACTATCATGAGAACAGCACATAAAACCTGCCCCCATGATCCAATCACCTCCCACCTTGTCCCTCCCCTGACATGTAGGGATTACAATTCGAGATAAGATTTGTCTGGGGACACAGAGCCAAACCATATCAGATTGGAAAAATTAATATTGAAAACATGACCATACGACCCAAAGAAATCTACAGATTTCATGCAGTACCTATCAAGATATGAATGGCATTATTTACGGAAAGAGAGAAAACAATCTTGAAACTTGTATGAAGCCACAAAAAGCCCTGAATAGCAAAAACAATACTGAGCAAAAGAAACAAAGTGTGCTCAAGGCATCATACAACATGACTTGAAAATATACTGCAAAGCCATAGTAATCAAAACACCCATGGTACTGGCATAAAAATTTATGTAGACCAATGGAACAAGTTAGAGAGAAATAAAGAATACACAGAAATAAATCTATGTATTCACAGACAACTGATTTTTGACAAAGGCACCAATAACCTACATCGGGGAAAGGACAGTTGTATAAATCATTGGTGCTGGGAAAACTAAATATCTGTATGCAGAAGAATGAAACTAAACCCCTACCTTTCACCATATGCAAAAATAAAACCCAAACTAAAAACATTTAAATATAAGATTAATATTTCATAAATATAAGATTCATGAAACTACTTAAAGAAAACATAAGGGAAATGCTTCAAGACATTGGTCTGGGCAAAGAAAAATATGAATAAGACTAAAAACACAGGCAACAAAAGCAAAAACAGACCAACAGGATTGCATCAAGCTAAAAAGTTTCTTCACCTCAAAAGAAATAATCAGCAGAGTGAAGAGATGACCTGCAAAATGGGAGAAAATATTTGCAGACCATTTATAGAACAAGGAATTAATACTGAGAATACACTAGGAAGCCAAACAACAGCAAAAAAAATCTAAAAATCTGATTAACAAATGGGCTAATAATCTGAATAGATATTTCTCAAAAGAAGACATAAGATGGTCACCAAGTATATGAAGAAATGGTCAACATCACGAATCATTAAATAAATGTAAATTAAAATAATGATGAGATACCACATCAACATAGTGAGAATAGCTATTATCGAAAAGACAAAAAACATGCCACTACCACATGAGCATATGCACATGTGTGGAAACTGTTGCATTGTTGCTACTAGTGTGCATGGATGATGATGCTCCATCACCACACATGCGCATCCAGACATGAATCCTCTCCCACGCTAGAGTACATGTGCATGCTGGCCCCACTTCCACCACCCCACTCAAGTGCTTTTGTTAGCAACCCCCATAAGAGTGTTGGTTGCCTGTGGACTGTGAGCCCTCAGCCCCTCCAGCATAGCAGGTGCTTAATCTTGAGGGGTCAGAGAATAATACAATGCCCTGATACCTGCCGCTTATGGTTAGGGTATGCAGTCAGCAGTGCTAAGCTCAGGTATGGCCACCAGAAATCATCCAGAATGAAACCATTCATCTGAACTCAACTTATACCACAGTCAAATCCTCAAAGGCATCCAGGTATATAAAATAAAATTAAAAAAAAAAAAACATCCAAACCAAGCCAACTTCAAAGTTCAAAGCAACATTATCCCACAGAGATTAGAAAGAGGCAGCACAGGAACCCTGGCAACTCAAAACAACCAGTGTCTCCTTACCTCTAAATGACCACACGAGCTCTCCAGCAATAGTTCTTAACTAGACTGAAATGGCTGAAACAACAGACTTAGAATTCAGAAACTGGATAGCAATAGAGATCATCATTGATATTCAGGACAAAGTTGAAACCCACTCCAATGAATCTAAGGAATTTAATAAAATGATAGAAGAGCTGCACACAAAATAGAAATTTTAAGAAAGAAATAAACTTGTCTGAGACAGCTGAAAAGATCACTACAGAAATTTGTAACACAAACAGAAGTATTAAAAACAGAAGAAATCAAGTTGAGAAATGAATCTCAATGCTCGAAGGCCAGTTCTTTGAATCAACTCAATCTGACATAAAGAACAAAGAATAAAAAAGAATGAACAAAACCTTTAAGAAATATAGGATTATGTAAAGAGGCCAAATGTATGATTCAATGGTGTCCCTGAAAGAGAGTGAAAGAGAGCTAACAACGTGGAAAAAATAACTGAGGATAGTATCCATAAAGATTCCCCAACCTCACTAGAGAGGTCAACATTCAAATTCAAGAAATTCAGAGAACCCCTGTGAATTATTATACAAGATGACCATCCCCAAGACATACAGTTATCAAGTGATTCAATGTCAATGTGAAAGAAAGAAAAATGATAAAGGCAGCTAGAAACAAGGAGCAGGTCACCTACAAGGCCAACTCTATCAAGCCAACAGCAGACATTTCAAAAAATAACAAATGCTGATGAGAATGTGGAGAAAAAATAACTCATACACAGTAAGTGGGAAGGCAAATTAGTACAGCCACTATGAAAATAGTATTGAAGTTCTTTTTAAAAATACAAATAGAACTATCATGTGACCCAGCAATCTTACTACTGGGTAGTTTTCCAGTGAAAAGGAAATCATTATATCAAAAAGATATCTGTATCCCCATGTTTACTGCAGCACTATTCACAATAAACAAGATATGGAAGCAACCTACGTGTCCATCAACAGATGGATGAATGAGGAAATTGTAGTATACATACTTGGAATGCTATTTAGTCATACAAAAGAATGAAATCCTGCACTAGCATCAATATAGATGAGTCTGAAAAATATTATGTTAAGTGAAGTAAGTCAGGCACAAAAATAAATACTGCATGTTCTCACTTATCTGTGCAGCAAAAAAAGTGAGCTCCTAGAAGTAGAGAGTAGAATTACAATGACTAGAAGCTGGGAAAGGTGGTGTGGGAAGGAGATAGGGAGAGATTGTTTAGAGAATACAAA
This sequence comes from Homo sapiens, assembly GCF_000001405.40. NCBI lineage: Eukaryota > Metazoa > Chordata > Mammalia > Primates > Hominidae > Homo > Homo sapiens. The sequence goes on along the minus strand of NC_000009.12, from coordinate 102,044,797 downwards.
ATTACATCTAGAATGAATAAATAAACTATAATGTTCTATAGCACTGTAGGATGACAATCATTACCAATTTTTTTATATATTTTCAAATAGCTAAAAGAGGATTTTGAATGTCCTCAACACAAAGAAATGATAAATGTTTGAGGTAATTGATATGCTAATTACTCTGATTTGATCATTGCACATTGTATATATTTATCAAAATATCATGTTCCCCATAGATATGTACAATTACCTGTCAACTGAAAACAAAGAAAATAGATATATCCAAATCAAACAGACATTTCTTTCTCACTTGCTTAGATTTTCATTTTAGTGAAAATAAATAACAACGTAATCTTACATGCAAAAAAGGCCATTTTTGTCAACTTTGCTGTCATTTTTTGAAGGAATTATATTTTGCATATCTTAAAAACATATATCTAAACTGTCCAAACTAAATATATCACAACTTCCATAAATTTTGTAAAATCAGCAATTCTCATTTTAGGATACTTGCCCAATTTAAGAATAAATTCTAGTTTGTTGAATAAGCTTTGTGGTTATTCAACTTAAATATATATTGAGCAAGAAAATGTAAGTATAGAAAAAAAAGATGATTATTTATTGAGTAATATACAACTCATTATTTTCTTTATTGCCTTGATTGTAAGGAAGCAGAGGTCAATTATTTTCTTTGAACTTAGGTATCCTGCTGTATTTATTTCTTACTTTCCTCTTCATCTCCTTTTAATTGACATTTTCTAAGGTTTGTTTTGTTTACTGAGGTATTCTTAAAGGAACATACTTTTTCTATCAATGACTTTAAATTTCTTTCTAAAGCGAGTTGAATATAAATAATAAAACACAATTTATCAAGTGTCTAATGAAAAATACAACAACCAAAAATAAGTCTGACTGAACTGCAGGTACATAGAATGGATTGAAGGTTGTCACTTTATGTTTTTATTAGTCCCAATAAGCTTTTAAATTTTTAAACCATATTACTTACTAAAGGTGGTTAAAATAGCTCATATGGTCTGCTAGGATAAAGAGTATCTTTAAAGCAATATAAACTTAAATATACTGTTACTTGTTACTACTTTTGGCAGAATAAAATTATATTGGCTTCCATTTTTATTTCATTAACGATACAGGAAATATTCTCACCATGATAATTGTTTGAAAAGTCTTACTTTACAAAAAGAGGTCAGCCAGTTTACCTAAAAATAATTATTATCACATAGCATTAAGATAATAATTCAAAAATATTTTGTACCTAAGAGTCCTTTTGTTATTTTCTTTCCCATAGGCTAGACATTCCTTGACATTACTAATTATCAGAACTTCTTTCTAATCAGCATGGAAAAAAAAAACAAAAAACCAGGGTTAACACACTGAGGTGATATAAGTGCAACCAACCAACAACAACAACAAAATGATATTTTTGTTGGCCTTCCCACCACTTTTCCGTACAATGTCACATTTAGGCTTTGCAATAGCTAAGTGTAATGCACAGACACCTCCACCCACCCCCCAACAGACAGACAGACAGACAGACAGACACACACACACACACACACACACACACACACACACACACACACACACACACACACACACACCCTAGACTCTTGAGATGCCTTGGCCACATACCCTTGGCTCATTAGATTTCAGTGCAGCTGTGATGAGGAATCCCGCACACAGGACCATGATCTCACTTCAGGAACGCCTCACAGTATCTCTCTGCTTATCTGCCTTGAAACTTTCTCCAAAGTCATAAAAAGCCACTCAGCCATTATGTAGTTATGGCTCAGAATGTGGAAGAATTAGTGCCTTCAAGAGCAAGCAGCAACCAATGAGGAATGAGACTCAGCAGATAGATTCTGATCCTCCCTATTTTTGATTCGGTTCATTTGGATGCATATTCTATTTGATTTCTCAGTGGGTCCCCAGAGGTGCTGAGTCCCAGTGTTCACAGTAGTAGTTAGCTCATTATCATAAATAGTCTTTTCTCCATTTCTTGTCTCACTTTCCCCATTCCCTCACTTCCCCTTCCTTGGACTGTGTTCCAAATAATTTACAGGCAAACGCTGATTTCAAACTCTGATTGTGAGGCGACCTAAACCAAAACAACTACCTTTGTGTGCTCTAAGGATTTAGGGACTTCCATAAAAGAATTGATATATTTAGACCACTACTGTTTCTTAAATACAAACCATACGTTACATACTTATGACTAAAATATTTCAATCAATGCTCATAGCAAATCTGAGAGATCATTATGATCCTGTTTTGCAGTTATATTTTTGATGCAGTTAACAATTAGGAAAACTGACTTTCAAACTCAAGTCAATCTGGTCTCAAACTAATATTCTTTCTATTATATTAAGTCTCCAATTATAGTTTCAGCAACGCATATTTCTACCTAAAAAAATTGAATAACAATTCTTATGAACATGGATAAACAACAGAGCTTGTCTTAATAATCTTCAAAGAACTGCAGTGTCTGACAGCACCTCTCAAGTTACATTTCAAAGGATGAGCTTCTTCCTTTGAGGGAGTTCTTCTGTTGTTTTGGATATTTGCCCACATGTTATTGCTTCTGCTCTGGCTTAATTCCAACTCACGTAACCTCAGTAGCCTATATAATTTTCCTTAAAACTCTTACAACATCTATTGCTCTGCTCTTTACATACCAGCATAGTGGAATGAGAATCAATGAAGCATTCTGAAAGATAATAAAGCATACTTTTTTATTGTTTTGCAGTTGCTTTTGGGGTCTTCATCATAAATTCTTTGCCTAGGCCAATGTCTAGAAAAGTATTTCCTAGGTTTTCTCCTATAATTTTTATAGTTTGAGGTTTTACATGGATGTCATTAATCCATCTTGAGTACATTTTTGTACATGGTGAAAGGTAGGGATCCAGTTTCATTCTTTTCATTCTTCTGCATATGGCTGGCCAGTTTTCCGAACACTATTTACTGAATATGGTGTTCTTTCCTCATTGTTTATTTTTGTTTACTTTGTCAAAGATGAGTTGGTTGTAGGTGTGCAGTTTTATTTCAGAGATCTCTATAGTGTTCCATTAATTCGTGTGTCTGTTTTTGTACCAATAGGATGCTGATAGGTTACTGTAGCCTTGTAGTATCATTTGAAGCCAGATAATGTGATGCCTCTGGCCTTGTTCTTTTTGCTTAGGATCGCTTTGGCTACTTGGGCTCTTTTTTTTTAATCCCATATGAATTTTGGAATAGTTTTTTGTGTTTCTATGAAAATGACATTGGTAGTTTGATAGGAATAGAATTGAATCTGTAGATTGCTTTAGGCAATACAGACATTTTAACGATATTGATTCTTTCAACCCATGAGCTTGGAATGCTTTTCCATTTGTTTGTGTCATCTATGATTTCTTTCAGCTGTGCTTTGTAGTTTTCCTTGTACAGATCTTTTACCTCCTTGGTTAGGTATATTCCTAGGTATTTTATCTTTTTGTGGCTACTGTGAATGAGAATGTGTTATTGATTTGATTATCAGCTTGAACATTGTTGGTGTATAGAAATGGGACTAATGAAACTAACAAGCTACTACACAGCAAAGGAAATTCAACAGAACAAACAGACAACCTACATTATGGGAGAAAATATTTGCGAACTGCACATCCAAAACAGGACTAGTATCCAGAATCTATAAGGGATTTCAATGAAACAAGAAATGAACAAACAATTCCATTAACAAGTAGGCAGAGGACATGAGCAGACATATCCCCAAAGAATACATATAAGCAGCCAACAAAAATATCAAAAATTTTTCAATATCACTAATTATCAGAGAGATACAATCAAAAACACAATGATATGCCATCTCACACTAGCCAGAGTGGCTATTAATAAAAAGTCAAAACCTCAGGTGTGATGACTCCTGCCTGTAATCCTAAAACTTTGGGAGGCTGAGGCAAGTGAATCACTTGAGCCCAGGAGTTCATCACGAGCCTGGGCAATATAGCAAAACCCCATCTCTATTAAAACAATACAAAATACTAGCTGGGCATGGTGGCATACCTGTAGTCCCTGCTACTCAGGAGGCTGAGATGAGACCATCACCTCAGCTGAGGAAGTTGAAGCTGCAGTGAGCCGGGATCATGCCACTGTACTGCAGCCTCAGCAATAGAAGTGAGACCCTGTCCCAAAAAAAAAAAAAAAAAAAAAAAAAGTCAAAAAATAACAGGTGCTGGTGAGACTGCAGAGAAAAAAAAATGCTTATTTTTGGTGTTAGTGTTGGTGATAGTGTAAATTATTTCATCCCTTGTGGAAAAACACGTGGCAATTTCTCAAAGACCTAAAAACAGAACTACCATTGGACCCAGCAATCCCATTTCAGGGTATAACTCAAAGGAATATAAATAATTCTACCACAAAGACACATGCATGCATATGTTCATTGCAGCACTATTCACAATAGCAAAGACATGGAATCAACCTAGATGCCCATAAATGGTGGATTGGATAAAGAAAATGTGGTACATATACACCATGAAATACTATGCGATCATAAAAGAGAATAAAAGTATTGTTCCTTGCAGAAACATCGACGCAGCTAGAGGCCGTTATCCTAAGCAAACTAACACAGAAACAGAAAACCAAATACCACATCTTCTCACTTAAAAGTGAGATAAATCTTGGGTTCACATGTACATAAAGATGGAAACAATAGACACTGGGGACTTCAAAACAAGGAAGGGAGCTGAGGAAGGGTGAAAACCTTTCTATTGGGTCCTATGTTCACAATTTGAGTGGCAGGATCAATAGAAGCCCAACCTCCTCAGCACCATGCAATATACCCTTGTAAAAAACCTGCACATAGACCCAGTGATGCTAAAGTAAAAACGGAATTTTTTAAAATGTCACATTATCTTTCAAAGTAGTGTGTCTTTTTATATGCCCACTAGTAATATATAAGAAATTTCTTGATTCATATTTTTTTACCGCTTAATATTGTCAGACTTGATTTTTGCAGATTAAATGGATTATAAAAATGAGGAAAAAAAGCATAAAATCTTGGCATGTTTTATATCAACACTAATGATTTCCATCTTCTTTAATACAACAAAAGAGAGAATAGAAAGGCTTAGACTTAATTGTACTTCAGCTCAAAATGTTATATGTGATGATATGTTGAAATGGAATTTGATTCTAACAGTGTATTTACTAGATGTTACAGTCTCAGTCTATAACAAGCTTGACTAACCTGCTGCCCATGGGCCTCATGCAGCCCTGGATGGCTTTGAATGTGGCCCAACATGGATTTTTAAGCTTTCTTAAAATATTGTAAGATTTTTTTGTGAATTTTTAGCTCATCAGCTATCATTAGTATTAGTGTTTTATGTGTGGCCCAAGACAATTCTTCTTCCTCCAATGTGGCTCAGGGAAGCCAAAAGATTGGACATCCCTGGTCTATAGTATCCTGAAATAGAGTTAATATCTAGAATTTCTGTAAACAAAAATTAGGAGAACTAATTGTTTGAAATCAATAGTTTGATGAAATGGAATGTCTTGTCTACCGTTTGGATTCAGTTAAATGTGATTGAAAATCACAGAAAGAAATAGCCTAAATAAAATAGAGGCCATCTAAAACAGATTTTTCATTCTCCTTCATAAAAAGTCCAGTAAGTATTTCAAGAACGGTAAGGTGATTTCAATAACCACCAGAGTTACACCACCAAGTTTAATTTAACATGAACATCATGAATATGATCATTATTTAAGTTGTAGTCATAATGTCCACATTCTAGCCAGCTGGAGTAAAGATCAGAAGTAGGGAACAGCCTTTCATTTCAAGTCAGCAATACTGAAGTACACATGACACTTTTGTTGACATCCCACATGCCAGATCTTAGTCACCAGACCTATAGGAAATGTTTTGCTCTGGCAGTTATTAATTGAATGACCTTGGCCATTCTTTAAACTATTCGAGCCATAATTTTACTTCACTTCTATAAATGGAGATTGTATGCTTAACTCCACAAGTTACTGCAAGGGTTAAATAAGAAAATGCACATAAAATATCTCGCATTGTGTATAACACACAATTAGCACTGAACAGAGAAAGCAAGGAGGTATTAGGCATATGCCTTCATGTTAATTTTTCTCTCTGTACAGTGCTTAGGTTGTATGGATAACTTAAATGATCTGAGGGATGGTTGGATTAGCAGTTTAAGTTTGTTTTTGAAAACATAAGGAAATGACAGTATCTGAGGAAGAAAGAAATCAGGAAGTAGAAGATTGTTATAAGAATGTAAAATAAAAGCGCAATTTATTTATTATTTTTCACATAAATAACCACATCAAAAATAATAAATATATCCTTGAAATTTTAGGAAAGGCTTTTATAAACATTAGCTATTTTATCCTTTGCTCCAAAAATGTTAGTATTATAATAATGCCAAATTTTTATATATCAATTTTGGCCTAGGCAGATTTGCAGTCTTACCCAAGGTCACACAATAGGAATGGTCAGTTACACAAGGAGTATAGCAAATGATGTTCACTGCAGGATACCACTTAATAGTGGAACTATCTCTTTACACTCAACTGCATGGCTTGCCTGGGTCTAGTTTCAGGTCATGAGTCCTTTCACCCAACCTCATTTAAAGTTAATGGTTCATGTGAGGGCATGAGGTGAAGTATGAGAATGTATAAAAAGATGAGAGACCAACTTAATTTTCAGAATGGATTTCCTTCTGACACGAATGTGATGAATTGAAATTTTCTCAGTTTCCAGAGCTGTAGTGACAAAATGGTTTGACCATATGTCAAAAGTAGTCAAATTGGCTTCTCCAAACCTCTGCTGAGGCTGAACTGAAAGTTAAGTCTATGTTTTATTTGGTATCTGCGAGTATGAGAGAAATGATACAATTACATAATTTTTTTCTTCAAGGAAGTATAAATTTTTGCTTTAATAAGACTTCAGAATATTCATGAATGTGTGAATATTAAATGAAATAATATTAAGTATCAATATCCTACATACAACATAAAAAGATTATAAACTGTTATAGTATTAAGCATATCATTGCACTTTTCTCCTAATCATTTTGATGTTTATAATCCTCCTTCTAATCAGAAAAAAGGCACATATTTTTCTTGTGATGAGAGATAAGAGTTGGTACAGCAGAAATTCAAAGAGAGAAAAATAAATACGGTAGTAAAAATATTCTGACATACAAAATAAAACAACACTCAGAGGATAGTGTCAGGGAGATAGAATTTCCTAAATTTCATGTATACCTGTGTATGTAAAAAAAAAGTACTGGAAGACTAAGATCATAGAGACCCTTTTCCAATAAAGAGACCATGATCATGATATTGGCTACCCTGACAGTGGAGAATATGATACAGGAGAAACAAATAGGTGATGTTCATCTCATCTACTTTCAAATAACTGAGGGAAGAAGAAAGACAAAGAAGTCAAGGGCCAGGGTATTTATCACTCTCTTTTGAAGCCCTCTTCACCTCTGTCTGAGATCCATACAGTTATCCCTTTTTTTGTATAGCATTTGCGTATATCTCTCTTCATACTTCCATTTTCACACTTCCTGTGTTATTACATACAAATTGTGTATGATATGAGCAACACAAGTATAAGCCACGTAGTCTTAATTTTTTAATGAATATATATTCAAGTTACTGATAGAGATATTACTGAAGTACTGGGAATTTTACCTGCCATCTTACTTTTTGTTTACTCTTTGTTCCATCTTTCCTCTTACCTTTTCCTCTCTTATTTTCTCTTCCTATCTATTAATTACTTTTTGCAGGGGATGGAGTCTTGCTCTGTCATTCAGGCTGTAGTGCAGTGGCGTGATCTCTGCTCACTGCAACCTTTGCCTCCTCAGTTCAAGAGATTCTCCTGTCTAAGCTTCCTGGGTAGGTAGCTGGGACTACAGGTGCCCACCACCATGTCTGGCTAATTTTTGTATTTTTAGTAGAGAGGAGATTTGGCCCCGTTGGCCAGGCTGGTCTTGAACTCCTGGCCTCTTGTGATCCCCCTGCCTCAGTCTCCCAAAGTGCTGAGATTGCAGATCTGAGCTACTGTGCCCAGCCCTTTTTTTAAAAAATTCCATATTTTAACCAATTTATCCTTCCTTCTATCAGCTTGTAGGTTATAAACTCTTCTACTATTCTTTTGTATTTGCCCTAGAGGTTTCAACATAGATCTTTGAGTACATTTTATTGTTTATACATGAGTACTATTACCACTTCCTTGAGAAAGCAAGAAATTTCGAAGATGTTATTTCAATTTGGCCCCTTCTGCCTTTTATGTTATAGTTATTGTCTATTTTATTTTACATTTGTTTAAATTTCAAAATAAATTGTAATCACTGTTTTATAGTCAATATATATTTTGATTTACCAACAAATTCACCCTTTCCACACCCTTCATTCTTTCTTTCCTTTTTGTGCTTCCATTGAGGATCATATTTTATTTACATACAGTGTGTCTTTTGGGGTAGTTCTGCTGGCTATAAATCCTTTTAATTCTTATTATTTAGAATTATTTCTATTTTGTTTATATTTATTAGTTTATTTGTTTTTGTTTTTGTTTTGTTTTGTTTTCTGGTTATAGGTCACTGGCAGTTGGGCTCTTTCACCATTTTAAAGATGTCACTGCATTTCCATTCAGTTTCCACTGCACTAGTGAGAAATCAGTTATCAGTTTCACTTTCCCTTTGAAGCTAATGCCCCAGTTGTAATTTGAATGCTTTAGAAGTCCTTTATTTTTCAAATTTTTATTTTGAGAAGGTTTATTATGGTATACCAATATGTATTTTTCTTTGTATTCACTTTACTTTCAGTGATTAGCATTACTTCCCTTTCATCAGTTTGGAAATGTTATCAGCTATTTTGCATTCAAAAATATTGCTTCTATTCTGTGATTCTTCTCTCTCTCTCTTTTTCTCTATACCCCCCCCCCCATCTTAGTGGGACTCTATAAACACAAATGTGTTAAATTTTTCACTGAAAGCCATATGGTTCCTAGAATTTTTCTTTATTTTCCATCACTCTTTTCCTCATTTTTGATGATAATACATATATTTTAATATACTAATCAGTATTCCAAATCACTAATCTTTTCTTCAGCTGAATATGTTCTACAGTGAAAAAAACTGTTGTATGTTTTCAATTTCAATTATTAAAGATATGGGGTCTTTAATAGCTAGATTCAAAACTTTAATAATTGCAATTGAAATTGACTAAACTTTAGTCAGTCTATCCACCTTTTCCTAGGCCTATTTATGCATGTTCCTGTAAAATCTAGTTTTAGCAAGGAACCCTGCTATGTCAGCTTAACAGGAACCTCCCAGTCTCAATACCTGATCACCCTCCTCAATATCTAATTGGATTCCTCACTCTCCACCATCCTCTAGGTGATGACTGATCACCTGTGATTAAATTTTCTGGATTTAGGTAATTCTACTCTAATGAAGGGTGGTAATAACTCTGCTTATAGGGAAATGAAATTAATCTTTCCGTTTTCATCTCATGATTTATTTTTCATTCTCTATTTTATCTGGAGCTTGTTTTGAATTCATTGAAGAAAACAGAATCCTTGTGGTTGCAATCATCTTTATTAGAACTTTAGACCGTGGTTTTCTCTACCCTGACTTATCAATTATCACTTTCTATATTTAGCAAATGTTGTAAACATTTTCTATCCACTGATTATCTCTTTCTTGCACTCATTATTTTGGATCTCAGGAAAAGAATTTTCAACACATATACACAGTATGTTTCTTAAACCCATTCACCCAACCATTTGTTGAATGTTCCATGGATCTGAAAATATTGGCATATGGTTCATCTTATTCATAGATTTTGTGTTTAACTAGATTAGCTATTCAGAGTTTAATTCCACTTCTAAGATCTGATTGCAGCTCATTTTTTTCAATATTCTTACAATAGGATTTACAAATAGTTTGGAAAGACTCTATCCATACACTTAAATAAAAGCAGGCTTTAATGAGGAAGATTTCTAACATATATTTTTAAATACTCTGAATTTAGCCTCCAACTACAGTAAAATCCCCTTAAAATATTTCAAATTTTCTCAGTTTTGAAAATGGGCAGACTAGCATAGAATATGATCAGGTAGCCAGTATGTTAGGTAGAGACATATAATATATATTACATCTTTTGTTCTAGAACTCAAGTTATATGTTAACTATCTAGTTTCATTTCCATTTACTTCAGACATTTCCTGGAGAATAAAATGAAAAGAAATACATATTAATAAATTACAATTGCAGGGAAATTAGCTTAATATCATTCTAAAATATGATGTATGATTGGGCACAATTTAAATGTGGTTGAGTAATTTTTAAAATCATCTTCTATTTGAATTCATGACCTGTGAAACAGAATTTCTGACTTACAATAAATGCTTTCCTCATGTCTTTTATATTTTCATTATAGCATATTAACAAATATTGTACTCTCACATGAAAAATCCATATTATTTTACACTAATAGCAAAAAAACACACACACAATGTTTATTTTCCAATGAGGAAGTATAACTCTATAAGATGAAAGACCAGCTTCAAGCTAAATACTTCCAAGGAACACATTTATTTATAACCAACTTTCTATGAAAATGCATGCATAAATATCTATCTTTTAAAGTGATAAAAAATAATAATAACATTAATTTATTACAATTTCACTGAAAGACCAATGGGAGTTTAAGATTTTCTAAATTGTTCAGAGAATTCAACTGTGGAAATGTAAAACACATACTACATATAGCAGAGCCCCTCAAAGTTTTGTGAGCTTTTCATTTAATGGTCAATACTAATTTAATGACTATCTAATTTAATAACTACTACAACCCCAGAAGGTAGGTAATATATTGAATCATATTAGGGACCAGGAAATGAGTAGGAAATGTTCATTAAGACAGCTGGTAAATCACAGAGCGAGAATTTAACCCAAGATTTTCTGACTTTAGTGTCCAGTTTATTAGTAATTAGTTTTAAGTACATCTAACCATGAGCCAGAAAAATTGCATAACAATTGTAAATTTTGGTATTGCTTGGATGCAATACCAAACAATTCTGATGTAGCCCTTGTCTTTGTAATCTTTTCTTATAAGGAAAGTAGATGCTGGGTAATGGAGAGAAATAAGCAAACAACTTGTATGCCTCTGGCTTGAGATAGATTAATGCTCAGATTTAGACATGTTGAATTTGAGATGTCTTCCCAATATCCATGTGAAATTGTCAAGTAGGCAATGATATATAGTGGTCAGAAACTTAGAAGATCTAAAAGTACAGGTTTTTAACATACCCTGATGGATTATTGAGAGTATTTCATGAAAGGGAAGCAAAAAATGCAAAAAAAAAAAAAAAAAAAAAAAAAAAGGAGCTGTGCTACTGAACTAAAAGTATAGTCCTGTCAATAAGACTTAGACCACAATCCACGATGCTGGCCGGGCACCGTGGCTCACGCCTGTAATCCCAGCACTTTGGGAGGCCAAGGTGGGAGGATCACCTGAGGTTGGGAGTTCGAGACCATCCTGACCAACATGGAGAAACCCCATCTCTACTAAAAATACAAAATTAGCCAGGTGTGGTGGCACATGTCAGTAATCCCAGCTACTCAGGAGGGTGACATAGGAGAATTGCTTGAACCCAGGAGGTGGAGGTTGTGGTGAGCCAAGATGATGCCATTGCACTCCAGCCTGGGTAACAGGAGCGAAACTCTGTGTCAAAAAAAAAAAAAAAAAAAAAAAGACTTAGACTACGATGCAATAAAATACAGCCAGTAAGACCTAACCATAGGCAGCCATAGGTAGGGGAACCTCAGTAACTACAGATTTCTTAGCTTAGTTGAGTGCATCAGATTTTGGGGCAACCATCTCAGGTGCTCACATAAGAGACTTGAAGTCTTTATAGCTCAGACATCACTTACAGAACACATCACTGTGGCTGTTGACTGCATCACAGTACCTACTGACAACATCACAGTATGATACCACATTATCATACAGACAGAAATTGACCATGAGCAGCATTTTCCTTTATTGAGTCATAGCTGGGTATAGAACAAGAAACAAATTCTTGAACAATATATGAATCTCTGAACAAGAAAAAGGATAGATGATAAAAAAAGAATGTAAAAAAAATCAGTTTTCTGTGAGTATAGGCTTGCTCAATGCTGAAGCTGATTAGATACAAATCTCACTTTGTATTAAAGTTGTAAGAACCATCTTTAAAATATAGACATAGAGAAAGAAACAGTTTGCTCATCAGATCAGAGAAGACTAGGACAAAGGGACACAAGAATGCTCAAATTAACTTCCCGTATGTAGCATTTTATCCAGTGTTAGCTACATCTAAAAAATTCTTTCTAATTGTTTTCTAATATATAAAATCAGTACAATAACACAGTGAAAATTTAGAGTAAAGTAAAATTATCTTAATATACTGCTCTATTGACCCACATCCTCTTCTCCATTGCTGCAGACAGTACAGTTACAATGCAAGCAATTATTTTTCAGGAATTGTAATTATTGCTTTGAAATTTTACCAATTGTATTTAATCCTAAAATGTTAATTTAAAAATATGTTACAATATAGGCTTATTTTTCACTATTTTGTAACATCTCTATTCTCTCAAGTCTCAATCTTATTCTTTGAGAATTATTCCTCCATTCTTATTGACTCATTAGTAAAAATAGTTTTCCACCCATGCAACTATCTCATTATTTTGGTCTTTTCTAAGTCATATTTGCATTTCTATGTGTTTTGAATTGTTTAGAAATCCACAAAGAAAGTCCATAGTGATGGGCTAGGAATCAAGGGACCAAGTTGGAGTAATTGCAAAATTAGAAGATCACACCTTAACTATTGGGTCTCCTAATTAAGTGACCATGGAACAACTTTTTTATTCTCAAAAATGGTAATATCTACCTAATAGATAAAGGTAACATATGTAGAGTATTAATTAACGAGGCAACATATGTAAAGCATTTGAAATGTAGTAAGCAATCAACCATATCAGAAAATTCTCCACTTCCAACTTTAGCTCTGTAACAAGTAGAAAAGACTATTTGGTTTTCTTTGACAAAATATTGGGGTTATTGAGACACTACAAGCTGAAGTGGCAAATACACTCACTCCCTTAACATATTGTATAAAAATTATACAATTAATTGTTAATACAAAGCTAACCCTAAAATAAAGAAAATCATCACATAAAATGTAAACCAAAAGTTAAAATGAGAATTTGGGAGCTGATATACAGAATATTTTTTACCTCAGTGCAATAAAATACAAATTTAAAAATTACAGGAAAAAATAAGGATTACATTGGAAAAAACACACACACATGTATGCACAGAAGCATACACACACTTAAGTAATCAGAAAAGAAATCATAATGGAAACAATATCTAGACTAAAATAACAATAAAATCAATATATATTATAACTTGAAGATGCAAGTAAAATATCTAGTCAAGGAAAATCAACAGCCCACAATTCCAATATTACAAACAAATACTAGAAATAAGTGAGTTATTCACTTGGAAAGTTAGAAAAATAACAATGGATAAACCACCAAGGAAAAAGAAGGTAGAAAACTATAAAGTTAATAGCAGAAACTAATGAAACAAAAAATAAAGAAATATTAGGGAATATTTTTTAAAAGTCGAATGAAGGAGACAAAACTTAAGCAAGACCAATTAAGTACAAGTAGGGATGCCACAATTGAAGAGAAAGAAAAAGAGAACCTAACTAGGAATATAGTAAATATTATATGACAATAGTATTTAAACTGTTTTCTAATAAATTTGACATCAGATATAATAGATAATTTATGTAAAATTTTACCTCAAGAAGCAATTAAAAATATAAATAAGCCTATAATGATTAAAGTATTTTAAAGAAAAGTCCAAAATCTACCCACATAAAAAGCACCTGCTCCACCATCATGGATTTAAGTTTTACCAAACCATCAAGTTACAGATAATGTATTTGTTAAACCAAATGTTCTCCACACTATAGAGAAGGGGAAGGTGCCAAAATTAATCTGAGGCTAATGTTGCCCTGATTTTATAACCAAATGAGATAATACAGTTAGACTGAAAGAATAAGACCTAGTTTTTGGTAGCAGAATAGGGTGACTATAGTTAATGATAATTTGATATATATTTCAAAATCACTGAAAGAATTAAACTGGAATGTTCCTAACACAAAGAAATGACAAATGCATGCAGTGATAAATATCCCAATTACCTTGATTTTATCATTCCACATTTCATTATTATACAATATCACATGTACCCCATAAATATGTACAACTATAAAAGTTTACGTATCCATAAAAATTCAAAATTAAAAAAATGAGACAATGCAAAGCAAATATTGATTAATCTTATTTTTGAATGTCTGTCATATACCAACAATTCAGAAATGTTTTTAAAAATTACTGATAACCAAATATGGCTTACTTCAATAATCTACGAATTGTTTTTCATTATAGCGTACATTAATGTTTTCAATAAACCGAAAAATTAAGAAAATGACATTATCATCCCAGTAGATGCATAAAATCTGCATAACATTTTCTTATGAAGAACATAAGTAAAGGAAAAAATTAAAAGTATGAATAGGAACAACAAAAGCAAAAGATGGTTTTGGGAGAGAAGGAAAAAATCACATATGGAGAGCTTTAAAAATAAAAAAGATACCTAAATAACACTGCAGCACAGATTTTAAAACTAGTAAATAATATTTTATTTCTTACTTTTTGTGTAAGAAAAAGCAAGGCTATATATACCCATTTGTTTATTTCTTTTAACCAAAAGAAACGTATAAAGAATAAGAAACAAGAAAATGGTTACCTGTAGGGGATGAGGGGAAAAAGGGTGGAAGAGTAAAAAAGTGGGAAAAACCTTATCTAAGTATATCCTTGTATATACTTTTGAATTTTGAAAATATATTTTACAAACTCTAAAAACTAAGTCAAAATGATTTTTTATCCTTTGTTTTTAAAAAAATAGGTAAAGAAAAATGAGTGTATCTGTTATCAAACTGATAACCACAAAACATAGTAGTCTGACTGTACACCTTAACTGAAATGTATTTGAAGGATAAAAATAACTCAGAGTCCATAGATATTAATTAGTAGTTCACTGTAAGTAATGGTATTGGTATAGTATTGTGAAGCTATTTTATTAGCATTGTAGAATTAAGCAAATGAGTAAATGTATTGATGTGATTAGCACTGTAGAATTAAGCAAATGAGTAAATGTATTGATGTGATTAGCACTGTAGAATTAAGCAAATGAGTAAATGTATTGATGTGATTGGGATTTCAGGTATTCACCAAGGAACAAGAAAGTTATCAATAAGAAATACAGATGGTGGGCAAGATGGCCAATTAGAAGCAGCTGCAGTCCATGGCATTCATGGAGAGGAATTAAAGGAGCAAGTGAATACAGCACCTTCAATTGAAATATCCAGGTACTGGCATTGGGACTGATCAGGGAAACAACTAGACTCATGGAGAACGAAGAAAAGCAGGATGGGGCATCGGCCCATCCAGGAGTGACAGGAAGCCAAGGGAACCCCCACCCTCACCAAGGGAAAAAAGAGTGATTGTGTGACCCTGAATAACCATGCTTCTCCCACGGATCTTTGAAACCCCTGGATCAGGAGACCCCCAGTGAGCCCATGCCACTGCAGCCTTGGGTCCAACACACAGCAGCTGCTCAGATGTGCACAGACAACCAGGAGCTTTACATACCACAGGCCAAGGATCTCCATCAAAGGTATCTGCAACTCAGGCAAGCCAGGAGGTCCATACATACCCCTAGAAAGGGGGCCAAATCCATGGATTCAAGCAGCGTCAGTCTGCAGGCCCTACTTCCATGGCACTCACAAGATAAGACCCACTGTGTTGGAATTCCGGCCAGCCACTGGCAACACAGTGGAACTTGCCTGAGATAGGACACAGTCCCTGGGGGGAGGGACCGGTCACCATCTCTGCTGTTTTGTCAACTCAGCCGTTTCAGCCTGTGGGCTTTGGGGAGTCCTTAACCATCCAGGTGAGGAAGGGTCCCCCCAGTGCAGCACAGCTTCTTTACCAGAATATGGCCCAGACTGCTTCTTTAAGCAGGAGCCTGATCCATTGCTCCTCACTGGGCAGGACCTCCCAGCCAGGGTTTCCAGCCACTCCCACCCACATGTATTCTATGGACAGATCTCCGATCTCTCCCTGGGACACAGTGCCCAGGGGAGGGGAGGCTGTCACCTTGGTTGATTGGACAACTCAGCCATTGCAGACTGTGGGCTTTGGACAGTCCAAGCAGATGGGGGCAGACATGGTGACATGGTTTGGCTCTGTCCCCACCCAAATCTCACCTTGAATTGTAGCTCCCATAATTCAGGTGTGTTGTGGCAGGGTCCTGGTGGGAGATAATTGAAGTGAATCATGAGGTCAGCTTCCCCCATACTATTCTCATGGTAGTGAATAAATCTCATGGGATCTGATTGTTTTTAAGGGGTTTACTTTTTCACTTGGCTCTCATTCTTTCTTGCCTGCTGCCTTGTGAGATGTGCCTTTTGCCTTCCACCATGATTGTGAGGCCTCCTCAGCCACGTGGAACTGTGAGTCAACTAAACCTCTTTTTCTTTATAAATTATAACGTCTTGGGTATGCCTTTATCAGCAGCATAAAAACAGACTAATATAGACGGTTCCGCAGCATGGTATGACTATTTTGTTGAGGCATATCCAGACTGCTTCTTTAAATGGGACTGCAATCCACTCTTCTACATGGGGCAAGTCCTCACAGCTAGGGCCTCCACCCATCCCCATCCATGTTCTATAGCTGACAGAGTTCTAATTACTCCCTGGGCTGCAGTGCCAGTGGGGTGGGGCAGGCTGCCACCTTCTCTGTTAAGGCATGTCAGCCGGTCCAGTCTGTGGGCCATGGAGAGCTCTAATGGATTGGGGGCTGAACAGATCCCCAACACAGCACAGCTGCTCTACCAAAAAGTAGCCAGACTGCTTCCTTAAGTGGGTCTCTGATCCCATTCCTCCTGACTGGATGAGACCTCCCAACTAGGGTCTCCAGCCACCTCCTACAGGCACATTTAGGGCAGCAACAGGTTAGTAACCCTCTGGGATAGAGCTTCCAGAAAAAGGGGCAGGCTGCCATCTTTGCTGTTTCATAGCCTTCAAGGGCAATACCTCCAGGTACAGGAAAAGTCAAAGTGACTAGGGTCTGGAACAGACCCCCAGCAAACAGCAGCAGCCCTACAGAAGAGTGGCCAGGCTGTCAAAAGGAAAAGAAACAAACAGAAAACAACAGCAACAATAACAGCAAACCACAAAAAATTGCATCCAAAGAAGTAACCTCAAAGATCAGAGGTAGATAAGCCCACAAAGATGAGAAATAATCAACGCAAAAACAATGAAAAATCAAAAATCTAGAGCACCCCTTTTGCTCCAAATGACTGCAACGCCTCTCTATCAAGGGCTCAGAATGTGGCTGAGGCTGAGATGGCTGAAATAACAGAAGTAGGGTTGAACATATGAACAAAAACGAAGTTATGTGAGCTAAAGAATGATGTTGTAACCCAATGCCAAGAAGCTAAGAAGTATGATAGAACAATGCAGGAGCTGAGAGCCAAAATAGACAGTTTAGAGAGGAACATAACTGACCTGACAGAGCTGAAAAACACACAGAAAGAACTTCACAATGCAATCGCAAGTATTAATAGCAGAATAGACCAAGCAGAGGAAAGAATTTCAGAGCTTGAAGACTATTTTCCTAAAATAAGACAGGCAGAAAAGAATAGAGGTAAAAATAATAAAAAGGAATGGATAAAACTTCCAAGAAATATGGGATCATGTAAAGAAATCAAATCTACAACTGATTGGGGCACCTGAAAAAGACAAGGAGAATGGAACTAATTTGGAAAATATACTTTAGGATATTATCAAGGAGAACTTCCTAACCTAGCAAGGCAGGACAACATTCAAATTCAGGAAATGCAGAGAACCCCCATAAGATACTCCAAGAGATCATCCCCAAGACACATAATCATCAGATTCTCCAAGGTTGAAATGAAAGAAGAAATGTTAAGGGCAGCCAGAGAGAAAGGCCAGGTCACCTACAAAGGAAAGTCCACCAGACTCACAGCATACCTCTCAGCAGAAATCCTATGAGCCAGAAGATTGGGGGCCAATATTCAACAATCTTAAGGAAAAAATTTCCAACCCAGAATTTTATATCTAGACAAACTATCCTTCATAAGTGAGGGAGAAATAAGATCCTTTTCAGACAAGCAAATCCAGAGGGAATTCATTACCACCAGACCTGCCTTAGAAGAGCTCCTGAAGGAAGCACTAAATATGGAAAGGAAAAACCATTACCAGCCACAATAAAAACACACTGAAGTGCACAGACCAGTGACACCATGAAGTAACCACATAGACAAGTCTACAAAATAACCAGCTAGCTTCCTGATAACGGGATCAAATCCATGCATAACAATACTAACCTTAAATGTAAATGGGATAAATGCCCCAATTAAAAGACACAGGGTGGCAAGCTGGATAAAGAATCGAGACCCATTGGTATGCTGTCTTCAAGAGAACTATCTCACATGCAAAGACACACATTGGCTCAAAATAAAAAGATGGAGGGAAATTTACCAAGCAAACGGAAAACAGAAAAAAAACAGGGGTTGCAATCCTTGCTTCTGTCAAAACAGACTTTAAACCAACAAAGACCAAAAAAGACAAAGAAGGGCATCACATAATGGTAAAGGGTTCAATTCAACAAGAAAAGCTAACTATCCTAAATATATATCTACCCAATACAGGAGCACTAAGATTCATAAAGCAAGTTCTTAGAGACCTTCAAAGAGACTTTGATTTCCACACAATAGTAGTGGAAGACTTTAACACCCCACTGAAAATATTAGATGAATCATCAATATGGAAAATTAACAAAGTTAATCAGGACCTGAACTCAGCTCTGGAACAAGAAGGGCATGATAGACATCCACAGAACTCTCCACCCCAAAACAACAGAATACTTATTCTTCTCATTGCCACATAGCACTTACTCTAAAATTGATCACATAATGAGAAGTAAAACACTTCACAGCAAATGCAAAGGAACTGATATCATAAACAGTCGTTTGAACCACAGTGCAATCAAATTAGAACTTACGATTAAGAAATTCACTCAAAACCATACAAATACGTGGAAACTGAACAATGGGTTCCTGAATCACTTTTGGCTAAATAATGAAATTAAGGCAGATATCAAGAAATTTTTTGAAATTAATGAGAAAAAGATGCAATGTACCAGAATCTCTGGGATACGGAGTTGAGGGACATTTATAGCACTAATTGCTCACGTCAAAAAGTTAAAAAGATCTCAACTTAACAACCTAAGATCACAACTAAAAGAACTAGAGAACCAAGAGCAAATAAACTCCAAGACTAGCAGAAGACAAGAAAAACCAAGATCACAGCTGAACTGAAAGAGATAGACACACAAAAATCCCTTCAAAAATAAATAAATCCAGGAGCTGTTTTTTGAAAAAAAAAGAAATAATAAAATAGACTTCTAGATAGACTAATAAAGAAAAAAACAGAGAAGTTTCAAACAAACATAATCAAAAATGATAAGGGAGATATCACCACTGACCCCACAGAAATACAAACAACCATCAGACAATACTATGAAAACTTCTATGCACATAAACTAGAAAATCTAGAAGAAATGGATAAATTCCTAGTCATATACTCCCTCCCAAGACTGAACCAGGAAGAAATTGAATCCCTGAACAGACCAAAAATGAGTTATAAAATTGAGAAGTAATAAATATCCTACCAACCAAAAAAAAAAAAAAAAAAAAAAAAAAAACCCTGGACCAGATTTATTCACAGTTGAATTCTACCAGACGTACAAAGAAGAGCTGGTGCCATTCGTACTGAAACTATTCCAAAAAATTCAAAAGGAGGGACTTCTCCCTAACTCATTCTCTGAGGCCAGCATCATCCTGATATCTATACCTGGCACAGATACAAATGAAAAGAAAACTTCAGGCCAATGTCCCTGATGAACATTGATGCAAAAATTCTCAACAAAATACTAGCAACAGAATCCAGCAGCACATCAAAAAGCATATTCACCACAATCAAGTAGGTTTCATCCCCAGACTGTAAGTTTAGTTCAACATATGCAAATCAATTAATGTGATTCATCACATAAATGGTACTAAAGACAAAAACCACATGATTGTCTTAATTGACATAGAAAAGGCCTTCAATAAAATTCAACATCCCTTCATTTTAAAAACTCTCAATAAACTAGGTATTGAAGAAATATCTCTCAAAATAATAAGAGCCATATATGACAAATCCACAGCCAATATCATACTGAATGGGTAAAAACTGGAATCATTGCCCTTGAAAACCAGTACATGACAAGGTTGCCCTCTGTCACCACTCATATTCAACATAATATTGGAAGTTCTGTCTGGGGCAATGAGGCAAGAGAAAGAAATAAAAGGTATTCAAATAGGAAGAGAGGAACAAACTATATCTGTTTGCAGATGACATGATCCAATATCTAGAAAACCCTAACGTTTCAGCCCAAAAGTTTCTTAAGCTGATAAACTTCAGCAAATTCTCAAGATACAAAAATCAATGTGCAAAAATCATTAGCATGCTTATACACCAGCAACAGGCAGGCAGACAGCCAAATCACAAATAGACCCCCATTCACAATTGCCGCAAAAAAATTAAATATCTAGAAATACAGCTAACAAGGAGGTGAAGGACCTCTTCAAGGAGAACCACAAACCACTGCTAAAAGAAATCAGAATTGACTGAAACAAATGTATAAACATTTTATGCTCATGGATAGGAAGAATCAATATCATGAAAATGGTCATACTGCCCAAAGCAATTTACAGATTCAATACCATTCACATAAGACTACCATTGGCATTCTTCACAGAATTAGAGAAAAAAAAAACTATTTTAAATTTGACATTACACCAAAAAAGAGTCTGAATAACCAAAGCAATCCTAAGCAAACAGACAAAGCTGGAGGCATCACACAATCTGACTTCAAACTATACTGGAGGGCTACGTTAACCAAACAGCATGGTACTGGTACAAGAACAGACACATAGACCAATGGAACAGAACAGATAACCCAGAAATAAGACTGCACACCTACAATCATCTGATTTTCCACAAATCTGACAAAAAACAAGCAGTGGGAAAACATTCCCTATTTAACAGATTGTGCTAGGAGAACTGGCTAGTCATATGCAGAAAATTGAAACTGGAGCCCTCTTTATATCATATGCAAAATCAACTCAAGATGGATTAAAGACTTAAATGTAAAACCTAAAAATATAAAAACCCTAGAAGAAAACCTAGGCAATACCATTCAGGACATAGGCATGGGCAAAGATTTCATGAAGAAGATGCCAAAAGCAATTTCAACAAAAGGAAAAATTGACAAACAGAATCTAATTAGACAAAAGAGCTTCTGCGCAGCAAAAGAGATTATTAACAGAGTAAAGAGACAACCTACAGAATGGACGAACATGTTTTCAATCAATCCATATGACAAAGGTCTAATATCTAGCATCTATAAGGAACTTAAACAAATTTACAAGAATAAACATACAATCCCATTAAAAAGTGGGCAAAGGACATGGACAGACACAACTCAAAAGAAGATATACACACGGCCAATGAACATATGAAAAAAAGCTCAGCATCACTGATCATTAGAGAAATGCAAATCAAAACTACAATGAGATACCATCTCACACCAGTCAGAATGGCTATTATTAAAATATTAAATAAACCACAGTATTAGAAAAACAACAGATGCTGGCAGGGTTGTGGAGAAAAGGAAACACATTTAAAATGGGTCTTGTTAGTTTAAATTGGTTAAACATAGTGGAAGAAAGTGTGGCAATTTCTCAAAGATCTAGAAGGAGAAGAACCATTTGACCCAGTAATTCCATTACTAAATATATACCTAAAGGAATATAAATAGTTCTACCATAAAGAAAGATGCATGTGTATGTTCATTGCAGCACTATTCACAATAGCGAAGACTATGTGGAGTAAAATGGAATCAACCTAAATGTCCATCAGTGACAGACCAGATAAAGAAAATGTGGTACATATGCACCATGAAATACCATACAGCCATAAAAAGGAATGAGAACATGTACTTTGTAGGAACATGGATGGGGCTGGTGGCCATTATAATTAGCAAACTAATGCAGGAACAGAAAATCAAATACTCCATGTTCTCACTTAGAAGTAGAAGCTAAATGATGAGAACACATGGACACATAGGGGTGGGAACTACACACACTGGGGCCTGTTGGAGGGTCAGGGGGATGAGAGGATGGAGAGCATCAGGAAGAATAGCTAATGGATGCTAGGCTTCCATTAGCTGGGTGTTGGGATAATCTGGGTGACGGGATAGGATGATAAGTGATAGGTAATGATCTGTGCAGCACAAAACAATAGCACGTTTACCTATGTAACAAACTTACACATCCTGCACGAGTACCCCTGAACCTAAAATAAAAGTGGGAAAACTTTTTCACAAGAAATGCAAGTTGGGGAGGAAGCTGTAATATTAGATATAAATGCAGGATATTGATACAAATTCATGATTATATATACTATGTATGAAGATATATATTCTATATAATATTATATGTACATGTGTATATATTCACTGAGAGGTTTAGAAGCAATGATGTTCAAATAGCACCATTCTCCACTTAAAAATTCCTTGGAGAATAGTTGATTATAGGTCTGGGACAGGGAGAGTATAATACTAACTTAGTATATACTTTTGTTTCAGAAAGTAAGGAAGAACTTGAAGACTAGTGGGATTATATCAAAATGAAACCAAAGAAAGTTGGAAATGGCTTGTGTCAGTTTATTCTACCTGGATGTATTTATTATACTCTGGGGCCTGGAAGAAAAAAATGACTAAATAAGGATAAACTCATCAAACAATGTAAAATTCTTTTTATACTGAACTCCTCATTCTTTTGCTGAATCTTTAAATAAGTTTTATTAGTAAAATACATTAATCATCTTTCACATTTCTTAATGGCTACTGAAAGTTGTTAATGTTCACATCACTTTGATAACAATATTCTAAGTCAGTGTGGCAGTGTTTCTAAACAATAGAGACGTTCCATGAGTTGTTTCTTTTGTTCAGAACAAAAGCATTCTATATTGGAGAAACTGTTGAGCTCATTATTTTAAGATTTATTCCTCCTAATACACCTCATTCTATTTACTATGTTTTAAGAATAATGCAATTTATATCATAAATCTTTATTTAGTACATACCAGTATATAATACTGGATTATATTATTTTATGAACATCCGTGTAAGACATAAAACATGCCTTTAATATTATCTATAATCTAGAAGATAAAACACATATAAGGAACCTGTAAAACTAAAAACAAAACAAAAAAGATCTGTGATAGAGTTCAGTAAGTAATTTTCTGTAGAAAAAGGGAGTATAAAACATGGTGATAAAAATTTTAAAAAACATTGGTCTAATGCAATAAACTATGTTGTATCTTAGTGGCAGTTTAACATTTTATGTAACCTAAACATACTCTTCTTCTGAAAGTATGACTTCAACAGTGCATTCACCAAGGTTCAAGCAAGAAATAGATGGCAGATGTATACTCAAACTGAGTATATGAGAAGAGTTTTAAAAATATTCTTACAAATGCTTGAGTAGTTTAGGGACACCTCAGATGACAACCAGAGTGTCATTACTATTTTTGCCTCTAAGATTAATTTATTGTCCTTTTTTCAAGTAAAATTTTCTATCTTCAAAATAAAGTACAGCAAAATTTCCTTCAACTTTCACATCATCATGAGATCATTTCAATTTGGTTGGATTTCTATCTGAAACCAAATATTTTATAATAGGTGCCAGCAATGCTGTTTATATAGGATAATGTGAGAAAAGTAGGTGGCGGTAAGAAAAAGTAATTTACATAAAACAAATGTGTTTCAGTACCTGCTTCTGTTGCAGATCATTAAGCCTAAGTTAATCACAGCTATCTATTTCTACCACCCAATCCATGCAATCTTTAATCACCCACAGCACTTTGCTTTAGTTTTTCATTGACAACAACAGTTTGTCAAGAGAATACTAAAAGGTGTCTCAATGAATCTCCCGTGTTTTAGAAATAGTCTTCCTTGCCCTCATTGTATACCAGAAACCACATTCCTACTTTGTTATAGGAGTCAAGAACACTGACTCCTTCTTTAACTATTGGTACAGCAGAATGAGGAACCTAAAATTGCAGGTGGTATTGTCAGCATCCAATTAAGTAGACCCATGATTCTGTCCTACAGTGGGGGAAAAAAAAATCCTCCCTTGTACACAAGGACCTGAAAACTGATCAATGCCTAAAAATGTCAAAGCAGGCAACAATCATCTTCAAGTGTTATAAAGTACATTATTTAGAGTAGTCACACATATTTTCATCTCTTGTCCGACCTGTACATTCTGGGTATGAGATAACCGGGCACTGGTCTAAGACATATTACTGAACCTTTTAGGTTAGTATCTCTATCTCATGATATTATCTCCCAGCTAATGCCATTAGTTAAATCTTCAACAAAATTTCATCATAATATCAATCTAACTTCTTCTTATTAGTGGAGCACAGAGAAAGACTAATGAATTCGATGGCTGTGAGCCACTGCCATCATTCCTTAGTATGCCCTTGGTCAGAGATGTTGTTTTATGAGAATACCATACAATGGGTTACATATTCCATAAAGTCCTAAGTATGATGCTGGTGGAAGAGCTTTTTGTTTAGACTGCAAATACTTACCAGAAATATCTTTTCACTCTGTGAGGCTATATTGTCTTGCCCTGTATGATGGACCGGGTTTAATGTAATCATCATTATGAGGGAACTTACTGGAATCTATAGGAAATGGTGACATATTACAGATTCAGCCTTGGTCTCTGTTGTTGGAATGTTGGGCACTCAGAAGTAGGAGTAGCCAGCCTCAATTGCACTGGAAACGTATACTAATAAAATGGTTGTAATGCAGGAGGTTTATTTGGGACTCCAGTGAAAACAAGCAGCGGAATGATAAAGTGATACGGGGAAAAGAGGACAGCCAATAAGTGCTGAGTTACTATGCCAGCTACCACAGTGGGCAAGCGGGCTTAATTCAAGGAGAACCTCTGAGGAAAAGTGTAAAACATATACCTCAGCACCAACCCATATCAATATGAGGAAGCTGAGGTATTTATGCATTAACTCTCCCGTAAGTCAGTGGTTGAAGTCCGATCCTAGTGGTATTAATTTCCCAGGAAATCTGGGTGTGATGCATGTATGGAAAATAATGGCCAGGAAAAAATGCTTAGACACAGATGCAGATGCCGGCAGTTTGAAGTCATCTAAACATATTGAAAATGTAGGGTTCAAGGCATATTGGCAGAGCACACAGGCAGCATCTTCCACAGCCTTAATCTCTGCCACTATGGCCACCTTCTAGACAGACACATAGAGAAAGCATCAGAAGACAGAGGGCATGAGAAGATGACATCCACACAACAATTTGTCATGTTTACCTTGTTAGTTTCTCCTCTAGTAATAAATGCCCTCTTGTAGCATTTATGTAGAATACAAATATACCCAATAGGAGAGGACCATCCACATATTTCTTCTTGAGACCTCATTATCACCAATTTTTTTTAAATCTTGATCTTGGTAATTCCTCAACAGACAAAGGATTGCCTCTTTCCATGAGGCACTGTAATACACATCTCAGTCAATCGTTCTTTCCACATGAAGTAGACAAACGAATGTGACATCCAGAGATATGCCAACTGGAAATCAACTATTTGGGGGGTCATGCTTGAATATAGACATGAGGCAGCAACCATCCACTTTGGCAGGTGCCTGCAAAGCATGTAAATCAATCTGTAATTCAATTTTTTACTTTTGGTATCCATTGACACATGGTAAGTCATTCCTCATGGGATGAGGATTGTGGTGAGGCTGTAAAGCAATGCGAGCAGGTGCCATGGAAAGCTGTACCTGCTTGTGCTATTTCCTGGAACCTTCTGCACTTGCTAGGGCACTGACTCCTGTATGATATTTCTATTTTACAGTGAAATGCTAAAGTACATGTCCAATTGTAAGGTTCAATAAATTACTAAGACACATTTCATGATTAGTTTGACTCAAGTAGTTATTTGGTGTCCAGTAATTGTGTATGCAGCCTTTCAGCTGCTCTAAACATTCAACTGCTTTCAAATTAAGAGTATGTTGTTTGCAGAAGAAGACATGACTTATTCCAAAACCCTAGAGACTTTATTAGTAATTGTCAGAGGCTCCATAGAGCATCTCTGTTTGCTGCAGATCTTTCCAGTTGGATGTACTGAGTCATAAGGACCCAAGTGGCTGGGCAGCTTGCACTACAGCCTGAACCTGTTTTAAGGTTTTCCTTGTGCTGCCCCCCTTCAAAACTGGCAGCTTGCAGGCAAATACTGGCAAGAGACGGGAGAGCCTACAGAGCTAGTGTGATGGCAGTCACAGTGTGGGGAAGCTATTCAGCCAATACTCAGTGGATTGAGGGCATCCATGTGACATCCATACAGCAACTTCTGCTAATCAACAGATAAGAACGGATGCACTGTTCTACTTACTTTTATAACAAAAAGTAAATTTTCCTGGCATTTAAAAATTCCTCAAACAACCTTCCAGGAACAGTTACAAAAGTTGACTTTTAAAGAAAATACCTAGGCTCTTTAAAGTCCCAGCACTGGAGTATGACCATGACCTTCAGAACTTGATGCTTCAAAATTTTAGAAGGCTACTAAATGAAAACACATTGAAGCGAGCTTGACTTTCTTTATCAATATTTCCCATAAGGCCATATAGCAACCAGATACAAGGCACAATCCCCCACAAAAAAAGCAAAGAACTGGATCTTGCAGCTCTATCATGGCTGAGAAGGTAACAGTTAGAGTTGAAGGGCCACCAAAGAGGTTGACCTTTGTTTCCTTGTGATATAGCAATGATCAGTGAAGATAATGACATTGTGAAGAGGCCCTCCCTCCATCCCTCAAAAATTAATGTAAGAATTCTGCAGTTAACTAAGCACATCTGTTTCCATTATACATTTTGAAAGTGGAGAAACAACTAGAGTGTTGTAGTTAGGCCCACAAAACCCTGTGAAACAAAATTGGGCCAAAACTTCATCCATCCTCTGATCTCCACGGGACCCTACTGTAACTGGTGAAGCATAGAGAACTTCTGGTTTCTAGTGATTAAAGTACATTAAGAGTTGGCATCCAATAATCCCCAGAAGGTCTGGGTCTTTAGCTTTCTCCAACATAAAGTCATCCTGGTAAACTGTTACAGTACACTTTAAGATTCCTACTTGTTCAAAGAATATAGTTCATTCACATATCTTGAGGCCTTAGGGTTTATATTTTATTACTTGTTTAATTTGTTAGATGTTAATAGTGAATATAGTAGCTGTATCATTTTGAAATTCCCACCAGTAAAGAATGAGAATTCCTGTTACTCCACATCCTTGCCAGTTTTCAACGTTGTCAGTGCTCTGAAGTTTAGCCATTCTAATATGTGTACAGTGGTATCCAATTGTCATTTTAATTTACATTTCCCTGATGACATATGATATGCAGCATCTTCTCATATCCTTATTTGTCATCTATATAGCTTTTTTGGTGAGGTATCTTTGGCTTATTTTTTAATTGGGTTTTTTTTTAATTATACTTTAAGTTTTAGGGTACATGTGCACAACGTGCAGGTTTGTTACATATGTATACATGTGCCATGTTGGTGTGCTGCACCCATTAACTCGTCATTTACAATAGGTATATCTCCTAATGCAACCCCCCGCCCCACCCCACGACAGGCCCCGGTGTGTGATGTTCCCCTTCCTGTCATAGGTGGGTTGTTTGGTTTTTAATTGTCATGTTTTAAGAGTTTCTGGTATATGATGGATAACAGTCTTCTTAGATATGCCTTTTGCAAATATTTTCTCCCAATCTGTAGCCTATCTTTTTATTTTTTTGGCAGTGTCCTTCATAGGTCAGAAATTTTTAGTTTTAATAAAACCCAGCTTATCAATTCCTTATTTCGTGTGTTGTATATAAAAAGTCATCACCAAATTCAAGATCATCTAGATTCTAAACATAAACTTTACATTCTTCACAAAAATTAAGTCAAAATGGAGTACAGTTAATAAAAATGTATTGTATTTTGAAAATGAGAGAGACTTAAAGTGTTATCACCACAAAAAAATAAGTATTTGAGGTCATGCTTATGTTAAATAGCTCAATTGAGCTATTCTACAATGTATATATATTTCAAAGAATCACATTATAATGATAAATATATACAGTATTTTTGTCAACTAAAATCAATTAATAAATAATGGATGACAGATCTAAATGTGAAACATAAAATTACAAAATTCCTAAAAGATAACATAGGAGAAAATTTTAGTTTTTATCATATAATGAAATTGTCTTTGTATGTACAGTTCTATGAATTTTAATATATGTATAAATTCATGTAATTTCCATTACAATCAAGATAAACAACTGTTCTAACAGCCCAAGAGACTCTCATACCATCATTTTGTACTCATGCCCACTCCCTATCTGTGGCAGTCACTGATAATCTCTTTTTTACTATAATATTGCTTTTCCCAGGATATTTTGTAAATGGAATCATATAGCATGTAACTTTTCAAGACTTGTTTATTTGATATAGCTTAAAGATTTTGAAATTCATCCAAGTTTTATGTGTATCAGTATTTCATTCCTTTTCAGTGCTGATTAGCATTCAATTATGTAGACATGCCACAATTTTTTTATCCATTCACCTACTGAAGCACATTTGGGTTATATCCAGTTTTTGGAAATTATTAATGAAACTTTTGTAAACACTTTATACAGATTGTGTGTGAAAGTAACTTTTTATTTCTCTAAGGTAAATATCTAGGAATAAGATTTCTAGGATATATGGTAATTATGTATTCAATTTTATGAGAAAATGCCAATTTTTTTGGCTGCTGTTGTTTCTATTTTTATTTATTTTTTTAATTTTATTTTTGAGATCAGGACTACACATGCAGGTTTGCTTTATAGATAAATTGCATGTTGCAGGAGTTTGGTGTACAGATTATTTCGTCACCCAGGTAATAAGCATAGTACCTGATAGGTAGTTTTTGGATCCTCATCCTTTTCCCACCCGCCACCCTCAAGTAGACCCCAGTGACTACTGTTTATTTCTTTTGTCCATGTCTACTTAATGTTTAGCTCCCACATATAAGTGAGAATATGTAGTATTGGGTTTTCTGTTCCTCTGTTAGCTCACTTAGAATAATGGCCTCCAGCTTTATCCATGTTGTTGCGAAGGATATGATCTTATTATTTATGGTTGCATAGTACTCTATGGTGAATATGTACCACATTTTCTTTACCCAGTCTACCATTGATAGACATTTAGGTTAATTTCATCTCCTTGATATTGTGGATAATGCTGCAATAAACATACACATGCATATTTCTTTATGGTAGAAATATTTATGTTCCTTTGGAAATATACGCAATAATGGGATTGCTGGGTGAAGTGGCAATTCTGTTTTAAGTTCTTTGAGAAACTGCCAAACTGCTTTCCACAATGGCTGAACTAATTTATATTCCCAGCAGCAGTGTTTAAGTGTTTTCTTTTCTCCGACATCTTGCCAGCATCTGTGTATTTTTTAGACTTTTCAGTAATAGCCATTCTGACTGATGTAAGATGGTATCTTACTGTCATTTTGATTTGCATTTCTCTAATGATTAGTGGCATTGAGCACTTTTTCATATGCTTGCTGGCCATGTGAATGTCTTCTTTTGAAAAGTGTCTGTTCATGTCCTTTGCCCACTTTTTAACGTTTTTTTCTTGCAAATTTAAGTTCTTTATACACTCTGGATAGTAGATATTGTCAGATACATAGTTTGCAAATATTTTCTTCCTTTCTGAGGGCTCTGTTTACTCTGTTGATAGTTTCTTTTGCTGTGAGGAGAAGCTCTTCAATTAGGTCCAATTTGTCACTACTTTTTTTCTGTTGAAGTTGCTTTTGGCATCTTTGTCATGAAATCTTTGCCAGGGCCTATGTCCAGAATGGTATTTCCTACGTTTTCTTCTAGGAGTTTCATAGTTCCAGGTTTTACATTTCAGTATTTAATCCATCTTGAGTTTATTTTCGTATATAGTGTAAAGAAGGTATCCAGTTTCAATTTGCTGCATATGGCTAATTGGTTATCCTAGAGCCATTTATTGAATAGGGATTTCTTTTTCCATTGCTTGTTTTTGTCAACTTTGTCAACTATCAGGTGATTGTAGGTATGGAGCATTATTTCTGGGCTCTCTATTCTGTTCCATTGGTCTATGTGTATGCTTTTGTACCAGTACCATGCTGTTTTGGTTACTCTAGCCTTGCAGTTTAATTTGAAGTCAAGTAATGTGATGCCTCCAGCTTTGTTCTGTTTGCTTAGAATTGCCTTGGCCATCTGAGCTGTTTTTGGTTCCATATGAATTTTAAAATAGTTTTTTCTAATAATGTGAAGAATCTCACCAGTAGTTTGATAGAAACAGCATTAAATCTGTAAATAACTGTGAGCAATATGGTCATTTTAACAATATTGATTCTTCGTATTCATGAGCATGAAATATTTGTCCATTTGTGTCAATTTTGATTTCTTTGAGCAGTGTTTTATATTTCTTGTTGTAGAGATCTTTCATCTCCCTGATTATCTGTATTCCTAGGTATTTTACTCATTTTGTGGCTATTGTGAATGGGTTTGAGTTCTTGATTTGGCTCTTAGCTTGAATGTTTTTTAAGAATGCTACTGATTTGTGTATATTGATTTTGTATCCTGAAACATTTCTACAGTTGTTTCTCAGTTCTAGGAGCTTTGGGGAAGAGACTATGGGGCTTTCCATGTATAGAATTATATCACCTGCAAACAGAGATAGTTTTACTTTCTCTCTTATTTGGATGCCTTTTATTTCTTTCTCTTGCATAATTGCTCTGACTAGGACTTCCAATACTATGTAGAACAGGAGTGGTAAGAGAGGGCATCCTTGTATTATTCTGGTTTTCAAGGGGAATGCTTCTAGCTTTTGCCCATTCTGTATGATATTGGCTAAGAATTTGTCATAGATGGCTCTCATTATTTTAAAATATATTTCTTCAAAGCCTACTGTGTTTAGGGTTTTTAACATGAAGGGATGTTGAATTTTACTGAGTCTTTTTTTAAATTTATTTATTATTATTATACTTTAAGTTTTAGGGTACATGTGCACAATGTGCAAGTTAGTTACATATGTATACATGTGCCATGCTGGTGCGCTGCACCCACTAACTCGTCATCTAGCATTAGGTATATCTCCCAATGCTATCCCTCCCCCCTCCCCCCACCCCACAACAGTCCCCAGAGTGTGATGTTCCCCTTCCTGTGTCCATGTGTTCTCATTGTTCAATTCCCACCTATGAGTGAGAATATGCGGTGTTTGGTTTTTTGTTCTTGCGATAGTTTACTGAGAATGATGATTTCCAATTTCATCCATGTCCCTACAAAGGACATGAACTCATCATTTCTTATGGCTGCATAGGATTCCATGGTGAATATGTGCCACATTTTCTTAATCCAGTCTATCATTGTTGGACATTTGGGTTGGTTCCAAGTCTTTGCTATTGTGAATAATGCCGCAATAAACGTACGTGTGCATGTGTCTTTATAGCAGCATGATTTATAGTCCTTTGGGTATAGACCCAGTAATGGGATGGCTGGGTCAAATGGTATTTCTAGTTCTAGATCCCTGAGGAATCGCCACACTGACTTCCACAATGGTTGAACTAGTTTACAGTCCCACCAACAGTGTAAAAGTGTTCCTATTTCTCCACATCCTCTCCAGCACCTGTTGTTTTTGACTTTTTAATGATTGCCATTCTAACTGGTGTGAGATGGTATCTCATTGTGGTTTTGATTTGCATTTCTCTGATGGCCAGTGATGGTGAGCATTTTTTCATGTGTTTTTTGGCTGCATAAATGTCTTCTTTTGAGAAGTGTCTGTTCATGTCCTTCGCCCACTTTTTGATGGGGTTGTTTGTTTTTTTCTTGGAAATTTGTTTGAGTTCATTGTAGATTCTGGATATTAGCCCTTTGTCAGATGAGTAGGTTGCAAAAATTTTCTCCCATTTTGTAGGTTGCCTGTTCACTCTGATGGTAGTTTCTTTTGCTGTGCAGAAGCTTTTTAGTTTAATTAGATCCCATTTGTCAATTTTGTCTTTTGTTGCCATTGCTTTTGGTGTTTTAGACATGAAGTCCTTGCCCATGCCTATGTCCTGAATGAAAGTCTTTTCTGCATATATTAAGATGACCATGTGGTTTTTGTCTTTAGTTCTGTTTATGCAATGAATCACGTTTATTGATTTATATATGTGGAACCAAACTTCCATCCCAGGGATAAAGTATACTTGATCATACTAGAATAACTTTTTGATGTGCTGCTGAATTTGGTTTGCTCATATTTTCTTGAGGACTTTTGCATCTATGTTCATTGAAGATATTAGCCTGAAGTTTTCCTTTTTTATTGTATCTCTGCCAGGTTTTGATATCAGGATGATGCTGGATTCCTAGAATGAGTTAGGGAGAAGTTACTCCTCCTCAGTGTTTTAGAATAATTATAGTAGGACTGTTACCAGCTCTTCTTTATACATCTGACAGAATTTGGCTGTGAATCCATCTGGTCCTGGGATTTTTCTGGTTGGTAGGCTTTTTATTATTGATTCAATTTTGGAATTCATTATTGGTCTGTTCAGGGATCCAATTTCTTCCTGGCTCAGTCTTAAGAGGTTGTATGTTTCCAGTAATTTATCCATTTTTTTTCTAGGTTTTCTAGTTTTTATGCATAGACATGTGTTTTTAGTAGTCTCTGAGGATTTTTTTAAATTTCTCTAGGGTTAATTTTAATGGCCCCTTGTCATTTCTGATTGTGTTTATTTGTATCTTCTTTATTATTCTACCTATCAATCCATCAATCATGCATATATATATGTGTGTATATATAGATACACACACATATATATGATTGATGTCTATATATATATACACATATGTATATATATATATAATTTCAAAGACCAAACTTTTGAAATTGTTGATCTTTTGTATTTTTGGCATCTCAATTTTTATTAAGTTCAGTTTTGATTTTCATTATCTCTCACCTTCTGCTAGCTTTGAGGTTCATTTTTTGTTATTTCTATAGTTCCCCTAGGTGTGATGTTAGGTTGTTAATTTGAGATCTTTCTAACTTTTTGATGTGTGTGTTTAGCTCTGTGTACTTCCCTCTTACAGCTGCTTTATCTGTGTTCCAATGATTCTGGTATGTTGTATTTTTCTTATTATTACTTTCAAATAACTTTTTGATTTCTGCCTTAATTTCATTATTTACCCAAAAATTATTCAGGAGCATGTTGTTTAATTTGCATGTAATTATATGGTTTTGAGCAATTTTATTAATATTGATTCCTATTTTAATTGTGCAGTAGTCTGAGAGTGTGGTTGGTATGATATCAGTTTTTAATTTTCTGAGTATTTCATGGCTGATTTTGTGGTCAATTTTCAAGTATGTGCCAGGTGCAGATAAGAAAAATGTATATTCTGTTGGTTTTGAGTGAAGATTTCAGTAGATGTCTGTTAGGCCCATTTGGTCAAATGTCGAGTTTGGGTCCTGAATATCCTTGTTAGTTTTCTGCCTTGATGATCTGTCTAGTACTGTCAGTAGTGGGTTGAAATATCCCACAATTACTGCATGGTTATCTAAGTCTCTTTGTAAGAAACTTGCTTTATAGATCTTGATGCTCCTCTGTTGGGTGCATATATGTTTAGAATAGTTAAGTCTTCTTGTTGAATTAAACATTTATCATTATGTAATGCCCTTCTTTGTCTTTTGCAATCATTGTTGGTTTCAAGTCTGTTTTGTCTTAAATTAGAATAGCAACCCCTACTTTTTTCTGTTTTTCATTTACTTGGTAGATTTTTCTCAATCCCTGTACTTTGAGCCCATGGGTGTCACTGCAAGTGAGATGGGTCCCTTGCAGAGAGCATACAGTTGGGTCTTACTTCTTTATAAAACTTGCCACTCTGTGACTTTTGATTGGGACATTTAGCCCATTTACATTCAAAGTTAATATTCATATGTGCAGGTTTGATGCAGTCATCATGTTGTTAGCTAGTTACTATGCAGACTTGACGGTGTGGTTGCTTTATAGTATTACTCATCTATGTAATTAAGTGTGTTTGGTGGTGGCTGGTAATAGTCTTTTTCAAATTTAGCACTCCCTCACTGACCTCTTATAAGACAGGTCTAGTGGTAATGAATTCCTTTAGCATGTGCTTATCTGAAAAGTATCTTATTTCTCCTTCACTTATGAAGCTTAGATTGGCTGGATATGAAATTCTTGGTTGGAATTTATTTACTTTAAGAATGCTTAATAAGAGCTCCAATCTCTTCTGGCTTGCAGGATTTCTGTTGAAAGGCCCAGTTTTAGCCTGATAGGGTTTTCTTTGTAAGGGATATGCCCCTTCTCTCTAGCTGCCTTTAACATTTTCTCTTTCATTTCAGCCTTGGAGAATCTGCTATGTGTCTTGGGAATGGTTATCTTGTATAGCATCTCACAGGGGCTCTCTGCATTTCCAGGATTTGAATTTTGGCCTCTCTAGGAAGATTGGGGAAATTTTCACTGGTGATATTCTCAAATGTTTTCCAAGTTATTTACTTTCTCTCCCTCCCTTTCAGGGAAGGGAGTGTATGATACATTTGGTGACTTCACATAATCCCATATTCTTGGAGGTTTTGTTGATTATTCTTTATTGTTTTTTCTTTATTTTTGTCTGGCTGGGTTATTTTGGAGAACCAGACTTCAAGCTCTGAAATTCTTTTCTTAACTTGGCCTACTCTGCTGTTAATACTTGCAATTGTATTATGGAATGCTTAAAGTGAGTTTCTCAGCTCTATCAGGTCAGTTTGGTTCTTTTTTAAAATGTCCATTTCACCTTTCATCTCCTATATTCTTTCATGATATTTTTTAATTTCTCGGATTGGATTCTGCTTTCTCCTGAGTGTCAGTGATCTTCATTCCTATCCATATTATGAATTCTATTTCTGACATTTTAGCCATTGCAGCCGTGTTAGGAACCATTGCTAAGGAACTGGTGTGGTTATTTGGAGGTAAGAAGATATTCTGGCTTTTGAGTTGCCAGAGTTCTTACACTGGTTCTTTCTCACCTGTGCTGACTGATTTTTCTTCTATATTTGAAGTTGCTGTTGTTTGGATGTTCTTATATTTTGGATTTTTTTAATGTGTGTTTTTGTTTGTTTGTATGGTTGTTTTTTGCTTTTATCTTCTTTGATTCCCTTGGGGTTTTGATTCTGGTATAACATAGGTTGAGTCTCTGGCTTTGACTCTGGTTTGCTCCTGGGTCTTGGCTGTCTCCATGCTCACATTTCTTTTGTTGAGTGTTTTGGTCCACAGGGCTCCCTCAGGTAGAAGCTGCAATTGGCAGACAGGCCATATTCTTGCCAGGTTGGCCCTAATTCTCTGTTTGAGTGCTTACCAGGGAAACATGGGATTACATCTGCCCATAAAGTTCAGGCTAAAGTGGGAATGCTGAGCTACAGGCTCTAGCAAATGTTGCCTGCCTGGCTACCAATGGTTTGGGTAAATAGGGTCACCTGCCCTGCTGTCTGGGCATTTCCTAGGACAACAGAAAGCTGCATTAACTGTTTGAGTTCACACAGAATTAGGACCACAGGACTGGAAGCTCTAGCAGTAAGCCTAGCCTGCCTGGCTACTAGTGGTGGGAGTGGCTGGGTCACCAGCAGTAGCCAGACAAGCTAGACTTACTACAGCTCAGGTGTTTCCAGGGAAAACAGGAGGCTGTGTCCTCTGGCTGAGTTCATACATAAGTGGGACTGCTGAGCTGGAAGCTCAAGCATGTGTTGCCTGCTTGGCCACCAATGGTGGGGGTAGGTTAGGTCACCTGCCCTGCCATCCAGATGGCTTCCCAAGACAACAGGAGGATGCAGCTGTCAGATGAGTTGAGGCTGAAGCAGGACCACTAGGCTGGAAGCTAGCACCAAGTCCCATTAGGTGAGGGGGATGGGGCAAATTTACTTCTCCCAGGTACCATGACTGTGTCCTTTACTATGGCTATG